>NW_003571060.1:622731-804915 GCF_000001405.40 Homo sapiens
GAAAACCTAGAAGAAATGGATAAATTCCTGGTAACACAAAATTTATCATATTTCAACCAGGAAGAAAGTGAAAACCTGAACAGACCAATAACAAGTTCAGAAATTTAATCAGTAATAAAAACCCTACTAACTAAAAATAGCCCAGGACCAGACGGATTCACAGCCAAAATCCAACAGCCATACAAAGAAGAACTGATACCGATCTTACTGAAACTTTTGGAAAAAATCAAGGAGTGGGGGCTTCTTCCTAACTCATTCTATGAAGCCATCATCACCATGATACCAACATCTGTCAGAGACATAATGAAAAAAAGAAAACTACAACTAAATATCCTTAATGAACATAGACATAAAATCCTCAACAAAATGCTAGCAAATTGAATCTGTCAGTGCATCAAAAGTTAATTCACATGATCAAGTAAGCTTTATTTTTGGGATGCAAGGTTGGTTCAACCTACAAAGTCAACGAATGTGATTCACCTCATAAACATAATTAAAAACAAAAACTATATGATCATCTCAATAGATGCAAAAAAAGCTTTCTGTAAAATCCAACATCCCTTCATGATAAAAACTGTCAATAGGCATCAAAGGAACATACCTCAAAATATTAAGAGCCATCTATGACAAACCCACAGCCAACATCATATTGATGGGCAAAAGCTGGAACCATACCCCTTGAGAACCGAAACAAGACCAAGATGACCACTCCCGCCATTTTAATTCAACATGGTACTGGAAGTCCTAGCCAAAGCAATCAGGCAAGAGAAGGAAATAAAAGGCATTAAAATTGGAAAAGAAGTAGTGATACTGTCTCTCTTTGCTGATGAAATAATTTTATACATAGAAAACCCTAAAGACTCTGTCAGAAGGCTCCTGAAACTGATAAACAAATTCAATAAAGTTTCGGGATTAAAAAAATGTACACAAATTAGTAACATTTCTATGCACCACTAACATTCTAGCTGAGAACTAAATCAAGAACACAATTCCATTTACACTAGCCACAAAGAAAATAAAATACCTAGGAATCCATCTAACCAAGAAGGTGAAAATTCTCTACAAGGAGAACTACAAAACACTTCTGAAAGAAATAAGAAATGATACAAACAAATGGAAGAATATTCCATGCTCATGAATTAGGAGAACAAATAGTTAAAATCGCCATACTTCCAAAAACAAATTGCAGAGTCAATGCTATCCATTTCAAAATGCAATGTCATTTTTCACGAAATTATAAAAATTTATTCTAAAATGTATTTGGCACCAAAAAAAGAGCCTGAATACACATAGGAATCCTAAGCACAAAGAACAAAGCCCAGGCATCACATTACCCAACTTCAAACTATACTACAATGCTATAGTAACCCAAACAGCATGATACTACTACAAAAACAGACACATAGACCAATGAGACAGAATAGAGAACCCAGAAATGAGGCTACATACCTACAATCATCTTTGAAAAAATTGACAAAAACAAGCAATGTGGAAAGTACCCTTTCTTCAATAAATAGTTCTGGGATAACTGACTACTCATATGCAAAATAATAGAACTGGACCCCTAACTCTCACTATATACAAAAATTAACCCAAGATAGTTTAAAGATTTAAATGTAAAACCTCAAAATATTAAAATTCTAGAAGAAAACCTAGGAAATATCCTTCTCAAGATAGACTTTGGCAAAGAATTTATGGCTAACTCCCCAAAACCAATTGTGACAAAGACAGAAATTGGGACCTAACTCAACTGAAGAGCTTCTGCACAGCAAACGAAAGTATCAACAGAGTAAACAGATAACCTACAGACTGGGAGAAAATATTTGCAAACTATGCATCTGACAAAGTTCTAATATCCAGAATCTATAAGGAATGTAAACAAATCAACAAGCAGAAAACCAAAAAACCTCAATTAAGTATGACATGAACAGACACTTCTCAAAAGAAGATGTACACATGGCCAAAAAACATATGAACAAATGCTTATTATCAGTAATCATCAGAGAAATGCAAATTAAAACCACAGTGAGATACCATCTCACAACAATCAGAGAAGCAGAAGCAATTACTAAAAAGTTTTTTGTTTTTTTTAATAACAGATGCTGACAAGATTGTGGAGAAAAGGGAACACTTATACACTCTTGGTGGGAATGTTAACTAGTTCAGCCAATGTGATAAGCAGTTTGGAGACTTCTCAAATAACTTAAAATAGAACTACTATTCAATCAAGCAATCCCACTACTGGGTATATACCAAAAGGAAGGTAATTAACTATGTCAAAAAGACACATGCACTAGTATATTCATTGCTGTGCAATTCAGAATAGCAAAGATTTGCAGTCAACCTAAGTGCTCACCAACAGTGGATTAGTTAAAGAAAATGTGCTACATATACACATGGAACATTACATGGCCATAAAAAATAATGAAATCATGTCCTTTGCAGCAACATGAATGTAGCAGGAGGTCAATCTCCTAAGTGAACTAACCCAGGAACAGAAAACCAAATACCACATGTTATCACTTATAACTGAGAACCAAACATTGAATACACATGAACATAAAGATGGAAACAACAGATACCGAGGACTACAGATGGGGGGAGGAGTAGGGAGGTATAGGCTGAAGAAACACCTGTTGGATTCTATGCTCATTGCCTGGGTGATGGCATTGTTGGAACCACAAACCTCAGAGTCACACAATATGCCTATGTAACAAACCTGCATGCATACCTTTAATCTACAGTAAAGGTTGAAGTTATTTAAAAATAGGAAGAAGAATTACCCTATACCTAAAGCTAAGATTTTTCCCTTTGAATATTCGTTTCTTCATCACTGTAGATAAGCAGGGAAAGAAAAATTATTATACTATACTAGCCTTTTATGTGACCATGAGGATTTGGGGTAGGTAGGTGGACAGCTTAGATAATTCACCAGGATATTGATACAGGCTCCATGGCTGGAAATAACCAAGGATGAGTGCTGTGTTTTGAGTGGTCTCCCCCAGAAACGTTTGTTGAAATCCTAACCCCTGGTATGTATGAATGTGAATTCATATTATATAAAAAGGAATAAATAGCCTGAGCACAGTGGCTCACACCTGTAATCCCAGCACTTTGGGAGGCCAAAGCAGGTGGATCATTTGAGGTCAGGAGTTCTGGCCAATATGGCAAAACTTCATCTCTACAAAAAAAAAATACAAAAAAAAAAATTGGCTGGGTATGGTGGCGCATGCCTGTAGTCCCAGCTACTCAGGAGGCTGAGGCAGGAATTGCTGAAACCTGGAAGGCAGAGGTTGCAGTGAGCCAAGATCATGCCACTGCACTCCAGCCTGGGTGAGACGGCAAGATATTCTGTCAAAAATAAATAAATAAAAAACAGAAGAAGAAATACAAGAATGACAGCAAACTTTGTATTCAAAACTATGAAAGTAAGAAACAGGTGGACCAACATTTTTAAAGTGCTACAAGAAAATATTTCAAACTAGAATCTTTCAACCTGAAAAGGAAAACATTTTCCTGCAATAAAGGTGCCATTAAAAATGTCTCACAATTTATTACATGAAGCATTGTTCTACAATAAATGTTAAGCTCTTGAAGCAAAGATTAATGATACCATTTAGTAACTTGAAATTCAAAAAAGTGGAAGTATCCCAAGAGGCAAATACGTGTGCAATTATTAAATGTTTCATATCAACACCCAACCTTATGCTGTCTACATAAGCTGCACTTCAAATACTAATCCACAAGATGTAAATATTGAAAGAATGACATTACCTTGTCATGATAATGCCCAGTGCAAAATATGCTTCTAGTCAGTTGTATACATAGAATAGGTAAATGTTTGTAATAAAAAGTATTCCTCAATAGAAGTTTCTTAACTCAAAGAATGAAATATTTCACCATGCACATACAAAGAAGAGATATATGGAGATATGAAGAGGAGTACTTCATAATGACAAAGAGGCAAATTCATAAATAAGACATAATCATCCTAAATGCCTACACACTTAAAGCTGGAACCTCAAAACACATTAAATTAAAGGCATAATTCAAAACATAATCAATCACATCCAAATTGCAGCTAGAGATAGCAACATTCACCTCACTTCCAGAACAAGTACACAGAAAATTATTAAGCATATGAAAGACTTGAAAAACATTTGTGTAGGCGGCGGGTGCATAAGGTTGGGTGTTGATATGAAACATTTAATAATTTCAATAATCCTAGCACTTTGGGAGGCCAAAATGGGAGGATCACTTGAGGCCAGGAGTTTGAGACCAGCCTGGGCACCATAGTGAGACCCCGTCTCTATTTTTTTTAAATAAAGAAAAACATTTGAATGATTTTTTTCTTAACTGACATTTAGAAAACATCCACCTCAAATCTTCCTAATCCACAAACTTGTCTAGCACCCCTGGAACATTCACCAAAATAAATTTTTAAATGCTGAATCATAGGTAATATGATAGATGAAACAGTTGAATTAAATTATAAATGTACAACAAGGAAATGCTGGGGAAATTATCAAATATTTTAAAATTAATAAACACACATAGCAATAAACAATGAGTGGAAGAAAAACATTTCAAAGAAAGGTGGAAAATATTTTGTATCAATTAAAAATGAAAACACATCTCGGCAAATGACTGGGGATACAGATAGAACAGCGTTAAGGGACAATAAGCCTCAAATGTCTGTGTTAGAAAAGAAGGAAGAGCTGAGTAAATAGGTAACTTTCACTTGCAGAAATACTACACATCAGCAAATTAATTCCAAAGTAACGTCGAGGAAAAACATAAAATGGCAAGCAAATATATACGTGCATATGTACATACATTCATAAATGACAAACAGGACAGAAAAATCAGTGACATCAATTTTGTTCCTTAGAAGAAACAGGAAAATTGACCCCAAAAAACTTTCCAGGCCACATTTGGTCATGATGGAAATATTTTGGCACTTCCTGGTTAAGCTCAACACCAACTTGCACCCAAAACCAATAATTTCATTTCTAGGTAAATATGTCTAATTAATTCAGCATATGTATGCAAGGGATCACACAGAAACACGATTATCAAGGCCCGAGTTATAAAAGAGAAAATCCGGAAACAACACAAATGTCCATGATAAAAAGAATGGATAATTACATGTTGATAAAGTTATGCATGGACTATTAAACTGCAATCCAAAAGAATAAAATAGAGCTATAAAATTCAATATGTATATGGTGTCATAGAAACACAAATGTGAGAAAAAGAAAGAAAAATACAAAATTTATATTTTTTAAAATTTGAAACAACTATATATGTGAGTGCTTAGGGTGTGTGTGTGTGTGTGTGTGTGTGTGTATAACCATATGTATATAAATGCACACATACGCACACATATAGAATGTCCCGGCCAGGCATGGTGGCTCACACCTGTAATCTCAGCACTTTGGGAGGCTGAAGTAGACAGATCACTTGAGGTTAGGAGTTCAAGACCAGCCTGGCCAACATGGAGAAACCTCCTCTCTACTAAAAGTACAAAAATTAGGTGGGCGTGGTGGTGGGTGCCTGTAAATCCAGCTACTTAGGAGGCTGAGGCACGAGAATTGCGTGAACCTGGGAGGTGGAGGCTGCAATGAGCCGAGGTCTCACCACTGCATTCCAAACTGGGTGACGAAGTGAGATTGCATCTCAAAAAAAAAAAAAGTTCTAAAAGTTGTGACTTGGGTGTGGCAGATTGTGACATACTGCCAGCTGCTAGAAATGCTGGGGCAGGAGGATTGCTTGAACTCTGAAGTCAAAGAACAGCCTGGGGAAAATAGCACATGAAGAAGAGTTTGAATCTCAGATAAAAACAACAAAAATACATCAAAAGTCTTTAATGTAAGCCAAGCATTCAGTCATCTCCTGTATGAGAGATTGGATCTGAGACGTGTTTTGAGTTGGTTATAGTGAAGGATGCAAGGTGTCAATTCTAGTTGGAACAATTTCCAGGAAGCCATGTTCTGCTCTTGACCAAACAGCCACTGGGCCTCATGCAAGGTAGAAATAGCCTGCATACGTCATCCTCCCATGATGTGGTCAGCATGTAAACTGCATGAGCCCCTCACAACATCCTGTGTGCTGCTGAACTGAGCTGGGGCGCAGCCGCCTGTCTGCACCGGCAGCACCATGTCGCTCATGGTCGTCAGCATGGCGTGTGTTGGTGAGTCCTGGAAGGGAATCGAGGGAGGGAGCGGTGGGGTGGAGATCTGGGCCTGGAGTGGAGATATGGGCCTGGAGTGGAGATATGGGCCTGGAGTGGAGATATAGGCCTGGAGTGGAGATATGGGCCTGGGGTGGAGATATGGGCCTGGAGTGGAGATATGGGCCTGGAACTGTAGATATGGGCCTGAAGTAGAGATATGGGCCTGGAGTAGAGATATGGGCCTGGAACTGTAGATATGGGCCTGGAGTGGAGATATTGGCTTGGAGTGCAGATATGGACCTGGAATTGAGATACGGGCCTGGAGGTGGAGATATGGGCCTAGAGTGGAGATATGGGCCTGGAGGTGGAGATATGGGCCTGGAACTGTAGATATGGGCCTGGAGTAGAGATATGGGCCTGGAGTGGAGATGTTGGCTTGGAGTGCAGATATGGGCCTGGAATGGAGACACGGGCCTGGAGGTGGAGATACAGGCCTGGAGGTGGAGATATGGGCCTGGAGTGTAGATATGGGCCTGGAGTAGAGATATAGGACAGAGGTGGAGATATAGGCCTGGAGTGGAGATATGGGCCTGGAGTAGAGATATAGGACGGAAGTGGAGATATGGGCCTGGAGTGGAGATATGGGCCTGGAGGTGATGTACAGATGGATCATCCATCATGATCTTTCTTTCCAGGGTTCTTCTTGCTGGAGGGGCCCTGGCCACATGTGGGTGAGTCCTTCCCCCAAACCTTAGGTTGTCATCTCCCCACATAAGATGATGTTCCTGAAACGGGAGGCAGGCGACACAGGGGGTTGACTGATGGGCTGACCATGGGAAGCCATGTGGGAATCTCTCATGAACTAGGAAAAGGAAGCCAGGGGAAGCTTCGCCACAGTTCTGTCCTAGCCCTCCCCGGCCTTTCTTTCCCTTGGCTGAGTCTGTGGGGACCCAGGGGGAGACTGAAGTGCTCAAAGGAGTGGTGTGCAGGGAGGAAGTGGTGTCACCGGCAGAGGAAGGGAGAGAAGCAGTGCAAGGAACAACAGGCCTCTGAGGACAAGAGCATAACTCACACCCTCCAGCGTTTCCATGACGGTAGGGGCTGCAATGTGGCTGCTGTCATTCTACCTAAGAGGTGGGGGAACCACAGTCATGACCCTGACATTCCAGATCTTCTAATAGGGGCTCAGTTGTTTATTATGGTTCATGCATTAGCTGATCATGCCCTCCATCCTGTGTCTACCTTGTGTTCTTTTATGTAAGTAATTTTGCAGTGTTAAAATCTAGTAAGAGTCGCTTCTTCAGCACCTGCTCAAAGTTCTCAGCTGACACTTGCTGTAGGGAGACGCCATGTCTATGCGGGATGGGTCCTTCCTGTAGCCCTGGGCACCCAGGTGTGGTAGGAGCCTTAGAAACGTGGAAATGGGAGAATCTTCTGAGCACAGGGAGGGAGGGGCGGCTCCACATCCTCCTCTCTAAGGTAGTGCCTCCTTCTCCCCCAGGTGGTCAGGACAAGCCCTTCCTCTCTGCCTGGCCCGGCACTGTGGTGTCTGAAGGACAACATGTGACTCTTCAGTGTCGCTCTCGTCTTGGGTTTAACGAATTCAGTCTGTCCAAAGAAGACGGGATGCCTGTCCCTGAGCTCTACAACAGAATATTCCGGAACAGCTTTCTCATGGGCCCTGTGACCCCAGCACATGCAGGGACCTACAGATGTTGCAGTTCACACCCACACTCCCCCACTGGGTGGTCGGCACCCAGCAACCCTGTGGTGATCATGGTCACAGGTCAGAGGCTTTCTGTCTGGGCTTCTCACTGTCCCACCTCCTGAATCCCAGAGCTTCTGGTGGGGGTGTCCATCAGGGTCCAATCATCCAGGCCCAGACTGTATTTGGGGTAAAGGGGGATTCAGTACAGAGAAATAGTTGCTGTGGTGGGAAGAATAATTGTCCCCAGTGATGGCTACATGGTAATCCATGAACCCTGTGACTATTTATGTCATAGGGCAGGGGACTGAAGGGGAAGATGGAGCTCAGGTTGTTGATGGGTTGACCTTGCGATGGGGAGACAGCCTGGACTGTCCTGCTGTGCTCAGAGTAATCACAAGGGTCCTCATGAGAGGAGGAGGAAGAGGAAAGTGGGGTTAGAGCAACGTCGTGGGAGGGAGACTCCATCAGCCACAGCGGGCTTTGAAGATGGGGGAAGGCCATGAGCCACAAAGGCAGTTGGCCTCTAAGGGCTGGAGAAGTCAAGGGAACTGATTCTTCCCTGAGTCTCCAGAGGAAACACAGCCCTGTAGATGCCTTGATTTTAGCCCAGAGAGAACTGGGTCCGATTTCTGTTCTCCAGAAGTGGAAGGGGTCATTGTATTCTCTCCTGCCCCATGTTTGTGACAATTTTCTCCAGCAGCAACAGGAAACCAACACAGGAACCCAGGTGAAGCACAAGTTAAGAAACCAAACAAGGAGAAGGTTGGCTACACTGATTTTAGCATGGGTGGGATACTGATGCTACCACCAGGCTCGATCCACATAGGGAGGGGTTGATGCTCCTGGAACCAGCACCAGGGGCCACCCTATGGAAGCTGGGGCCATGGAGAAGGCACAGACATGACAGGAGAGGCTCCCAATCCCCATCAGGAACAGGGACACTGATGCCTGCCTTACTGATGAGTTCGTACCTCCTGCCAGCCTTTCCAATCTGTCCAAAAGAGATTGATTCAGGCTGCTAAGAGCCTGGACATGCAGCCTGTCGTGGTTCCTCTTCCACCCCCACATAAACACCAGGAAAGAGATTAGTGGGAAACAGATACAACAGCATAAGAGGTGACACTGAGCACAGTGGGAAGGGAATCAGGGCTACTAGAGACAGAGAGACAGGGAAGAGGGAGGGAGACAGATGGAGGGACCTGCAACAGGGGTTATGGGCACAAAAGAACACGGAGACACAGAGAGGAAGGAGAGAGATAGACACCATGGAGGGGAAGCCTCACTTATTTCAGGTCCCATGAATGGGATGAGAAAGGGAGACGCCTTCTGAACTCACAACCTCTCTTCTTAGGAGTCCACAGAAAACCTTCCCTCCTGGCCCACCCAGGTCCCCTGGTGAAATCGGGAGAGACGGTCATCCTGCAATGTTGGTCAGATGTCAGGTTTGAGCGCTTCCTTCTGCACAGAGAGGGGATCACTGAGGACCCCTTGCGCCTCATTGGACAGCTCCACGATGCGGGTTCCCAGGTCAACTATTCCATGGGTCCCATGACACCTGCCCTTGCAGGGACCTACAGATGCTTTGGTTCTGTCACTCACTTACCCTATGAGTTGTCGGCTCCCAGTGACCCTCTGGACATCGTGGTCGTAGGTGAGAGAATACAGACCTGCCTCTCACCCTTGCTGGGAGATGGAGTGAATGATCTAGGACTGGAAGCCCCAGGTGGTCATGAGGAAGATGAGTGTGGGGTTCCTATGGAGAGAAAGTGACTTGGTGAGGTCTGTACCAACAAAGGCAGAGAAACAGGAGACACAAGTACAGACCTCATGTCATAACATAGAAGCCAGACACAGGGGCCATACAAGGTGTTAGAAAAAGAGATAAAGAGGTAAAGAAGACACAGAGAGACAGATATATCCCAGAGAGAGGTGTCCTTCTATGCTGACTTTGTTCAGAGACCAGGCACAGGTTAGAAGGTTCCATTCTGTTTTACCTCTACAAAGTGTTCTCTCCCAGGAGAACCCAAAGAGACACATCTATCTGGCCTGAGTTGGGCCGTGTGGCCCCAGGCTGGTGGCACCTACAGATGCTGTGTTTATTCTTAAACCTCTGCCTTCCGTGCAGTGGAGCTGTCGTCGTCGCAGGACACCATGGCCCCAGGTGAGGGAGCAGAACACCAACCCCTGTATGTTGTGAGTTCCTGGAGTCCCCATACTGGATTCTGAGGCTCATATTCAAATAGCACCACATGTTATAGGATTACTGAGAACAAAAGCCCACAGAGAGACACGGAGTGAAATCAGGGAAATCAAAAAGCAAAGACATGAACACACACACAGAATGAGCCAGAAGAAGGGAATTGAGAGACTCACAGACACATAAAGAGATAGAAAAAGAGGGCAGAGAAGTGGAGCGTATGATGGAAGGAAGCAGAGAAAAGCCCTAAAATCAGAGCCCTGAGGGAGGGGCACAAAGACAGGGAAAGATAAAGATGTGGGGATGGATTGCAGAGACTCCAAAAGGGAACTAGAGAGACTGAGAGGCAGAGAAAGACAAGGAGATGGAGAGAGACAGATGATAGATGGATAGATAGATATAGATAGATGAAAGATAAAAGGTAGATGATAGATAATAGAGAGACAGGTGATAGACAAATAGATGATGAATGACTGATAGATGATATAGATAGACAAGTAGAAAGACAGACAGATGATATATAAATAGATATAGAGAGATAGAAAGATAAACACATGATGATAGATGGATAGATGCATACATACATACATTGATTGATAGATGATAGATAACAGAGAGATAGGTCATAGATACACAGATGATGATAGATGATAGATACATACATAGATAAATGATAGATCGATCAATAGATAGTAGATAGAAATATGCAGAAAGTTATGAGCAAGACAGAAAGTGAGAGACTCAGAATTAAAGAAAGAGGAAGATCAAGTCAACCAGTCCAAGGAGGGTCAGAGAGAATAAAATGGTACAAAAAAAGAAAACATAGCTAGGGATGGAGAAGTGAGGTCAGAGACCTAGAGAGACAGAGAAGGTGGAAGGAGGAAATAGACATGAAGAGAGATGGGGGTGGAGGGTGAGAGAGAGAAAGAGAGCATTAAGTCATAGAGCAGGGGAGTGAGTTCTCAGCTCAGGTGTGAGGAGAGCTGTGACAACGAAGAACCTCCCTGAGGAAACCACCTCTTCTCCTTCCAGGTCTATATGGGAAACCTTCTCTCTCAGCCCAGCCGGGCCCCACGGTTCAGGCAGGAGAGAATGTGACCTTGTCCTGCAGCTCCCGGAGCTTGTTTGACATTTACCATCTATCCAGGGAGGCAGAGGCCGGTGAACTTAGGCTCACTGCGGTGCTGAGGGTCAATGGAACATTCCAGGCCAACTTCCCTCTGGGCCCTGTGACCCACGGAGGGAACTACAGATGCTTCGGCTCTTTCCGTGCCCTGCCCCACGCGTGGTCAGACCCGAGTGACCCACTGCCCGTTTCTGTCACAGGTGAGAAAACACCATGCCTGTCCCATGTCTTGTGATCCTAGAGCCATAGCTGAGGAGCTTCCTGCTGATGATGGAGAGAAGCATGGACAGATGCCGAGACAGAACACACAGCATGGGTGTAAGGGCGGGGTCAGGGGGCAGGATGGCAGACAGGGCACCTCCAAACCCTCCTGTATGGCCTGCAAGGAGGCCCTTGATCAGGGTTCCAGGCACCCAGGCAGATGGAGAAAGAGGTCAGAACAGACCCAGAGGAGGGAGACTGGGCTCTGCCTGGGGAGATCAGAGGTTCTCTCAGCCCCTCAACCTTACCCACTTCCCAGAAGCCCATCCTGGCCTGTCACCCACAGAGAGATGTCATCACCAGCAACGCCTACACCCTTTTCTTTTTGTTTGAAGAAATATTTATTGAGGTGAAATATACCTATGTAATTTACCACCTTTACCATTTTTAAGTGTGAAGTCTACTGTTCATAAATACATTTATAGGCTGGGCACGGTGGCTCACTGTTGTAATCCCAACACTTTGAGAGGCCAAGGCAGGTGGATCATTTGAGATCAGGGGCTCAAGACCACCCTGGCCAACATGGGGAAAATCCATCTGTACTAAAAATACAAAATAATAATAATAATGATAATAATTAGCCGAGCATGGTGGCACATGCCTGTAGTCCCAGCTACTTGGGAGGGTTGGGCAGGAGTTGCACTTAATTGCAGGAGGCGGAGGTTGCAGTGAGCTGAGATCATGCCACTGCACTGCAGCCTGGGCAACAGAGAGAGACACTCTCTCAAAATTAATTAATTAATTAATTAGTATTCTTTTTTTTTTACCCTCCACCCTTCCCTTCCTGGCCTCTGGTAGCCACCATTCTACTCTCTACCTTTGTGAGATCCACCTTTTAGCTCCTGCATATGAGTGAGAAATGGAAATACTTGTAATGACCTCCAGTTCCATTCATGTGGCTGTAAATGACAGGATGTTACTCTTTCTATGGATGAGTTGTCCCTATTGTGTGTGTGTACCACATTCTCTCCATCCATTCACCCACTGATGGGCAGGTAGGTTGATCCACATCTTGGCTACTGTGAACACTGCTGGAACAGTCATGGGAGTGCAGATGTCACTTCGATACGCTGATGTCCTTTCCTTTGGGTTTACACCCAGTCATGGAATTGCTAGATCCTCTGGAAGTGTCTTTTTACATTTTGTTTTATGGTTTTTGTTTTTGTTTTTGTTTTTTTTAGACAGTTTCACTCTTGTTGCCCAGGCTGGAGTGCAGTGGTGCCATCTGGGCTCACTGCAACCTCCACCTCCAGGATTCAAGAGATTCCCCAGCCTCAGCCTCCCAAGTAGCTGGGTTACTGGCTCCCACCACCACACTCGGCTAATTTTTATATTTTTAGTAGAGACAGAGTTTCGCTATATTGGCCAGGCTGCTCTTCAACTCCTGACCTCAAGTGACCTACCCACCTCGGCCTCCCAATGTGCTGGGATTACAGGCATGAACCACTGTGCCCGACCTCATTTTATTTTTTGAGGAACTTCCATACTCTTCTCCTCTGTAATGGCTGTACTAATTTGCATTCGTATCAGCAGTGTACCAGATGCAACCCTGGTTGACTCAGCAGAGCAAGAGACGTGCAGTAAGAGAGAATTTAGCTTATTTATGCACACGACACTTCCACTCACTCACTCGTTCAGCCAATGCCCCATGCTCTGGCTGTGCAGTGTGGAATCTTTTCCTATTGTTGCCATAACAAATTTCCACAAGCTTCGTGGATGAAAACATGTTTTTCTTAATTATCTCACAGTGCTGTAACTCAGAAGTATGAACTGCATTTCACTGGGCTGATATCAAAGGGACAGTAAGGCTGGATTTCTTTTTAAGGTTCCAAGCAAGAATCTGCTCCTTAACGTTTCCCAGCTCCTAGAGGCTCCCACGTTCCTGGGCCCCTGGTCCCCTTCCTCCTTCCTCCTTCCTCAAAGCCCACAAAGGCTGGTCACGTCTCACATGGCATCATTCAGACTCTTCTTCTTTACCCATACCTTTTTCTCTGAATCCTGCTCTGCCTTCTTCCTCATCTTTTAAGGACTTTGGGATTCTATTGGGGTCACCAAGATAATCCATCTCAATCTCCCTAAAATCATCCAGCGTACCCTCTTTTTAAGTTCAGCTGATTAGCAACCGTAATGCCATCTGCAATCTTCATTCCTCCTTTCCTGTAAAATAACATATTCACAAGCTATGGAGGCTAAGACAGGGACATTTTGGGGGTGGGGCAGCATTCTCCTGCCTTCCACAAATGGTAAACAGGATGCATTTGGCCTCTGCTCTTGGGACGCTGATATTGCAGATGGGTAAATGCGAGGGCAGAGAATGAATGCACAAGGGTACCAATAAATGAATGATCCATTGGGAAGCATCTGTGCACCAAATCTGGGGTTTTTTGTGTGTGTGTGTGTTTTTTGTTTTCTTTTTTTTTTTTGAGTAGAGTCTCTCTCTGTTCCACAGGCTGGAGTGCAGTAGCACAATCTCAGCTCATTGCAACCTCTGCCTCCTGGGTTCATGCAATTCTCCTGCCTCAGCCTACCGAGTAGCTGGGATTACAGCTGTGCGCCACCACACTCGGCTAATTTTTTTGGTATATTTTTTAGTAGAAATGAGGTTTCACCATGTTGTGCAGGCTGTCTCAAACTCCCAATCTCAAGTGATCCCACCGCCTTAGCGTCCCTAAGTGCAAAGATTACAGGCGAGAGCTACTGCGCCCAGCCAGGATTTAAAATAAGTAATAGATAATGCTGAGTATATAATTTCAGGTGACAGAGAAGGTCTCACTGATCAGATAATATTTGTGACCTTAATGGAAAAAATGGATTCAACCCTTGGAAGATTGGCGGAAGGATTTTCCACACTGAGCTCTCAGCCGTGAAGGCACAAAGGTGGAAACATTCTTAGTTCAAGGAAGAGGCTCTGCCTCAAATGCTGGGAATGAGATGGGGAGAATGACAAGACAACTGTAGAGAGATGGAGAGCACACTGGGTACACAGGAAACTAAGGAGGAACAAGGAGCATGTTTTTGATACTCACAGCCCTTGGATTCAACTCAGAGCTAACTAGGAATCCCTACCTGATTAACAGTGACCGACATGAAAATAAGGGAGGCCCAGGTGCGTAACTGGAATCTAGGAGACCGTGGAAAAGGCAATTCCCGCCCCACTGGTGAAACGTAGGGTTGATTTACACACTAAATGAATGAAAGATGGATATAAGCTATGCTTGTGAGGTAGAATCATTTGCAGGGAGGGCTTGCTGGGTTTGATTTTTCCTAGTAGTTTAATCCTTGTTTCATTAATTTCTTTCTGAGATGTGTTTTTTTTCTACATCTAAATCAATACCTGGCAGAGGAGCGATAGACACATGAGGGGTGGTGCAAATGAAGGGACCTAGTATAATATAATATACAAGACTGTGGATGGGGGCTCACACCTGTAACCCAACACTTTGGGAGGCCAAGGCGGGTAGATCACTTAAGGGTAGGAGTTTGAGACCAGCCTGGCCAACATGGTGAAACCCCGTCTGTACTAAAAATACAAAAATTAGCCTGGTGCATTGGCACCTGCCTGTAATCCCAGCGACTGGGGAGGCTGAAGCAGAAGAATGGCTTCAACCCTGGAGGCAGAGGTTGAACTGAGATCGCATCACTGCACTCCAGCCTGACACAGGGGGACTCTGTCTCAAAAAATAAAAATAAAACATACATAATTATGACACACAGAAATTACAAAGGCAACTGGATACCAACCATCATTTTTCTATTTCTCTGTGTTTAATTCTTTGACCCTTTATCTTATCCATTAAACAATCAGGTTAAACCTCTTCCTTATTTGGCTTTCTGTGAGCTTGGGATCATATGGAAAATGTGAAAGCCTCCTGAACCCACCAGCACAGGTCCTGGAATAGAGAACGTGCTCTGTTCATGGCATAAAACTTGCCCCTTCACCCAAATCCCCCAATTCATCTCTACTTCCAATCACCTATGGAGATACAGATAGATCATGGGGAGGTAAACACTAATACTCTTTGGAGTGAGCTCAGATCTTGGACTCAGAGACCAGTGCCAGCACTAGCCCCTGGTCACATTTCGTACTAACTCACAGAAGGACAGGCTGTATTGAAACAATAAACGACGGAGAGGGCGGTCCTTCCCCGTGCTTCTCGGGTGGAATAGCAGCCTAATATATGTCTCAGCAGATCACAAAAAGTAGCATGTTGTTCCTGGGCTACATCATTATTTCATGGCTGTTTGATTTAAGTCAGTTCTACTTCACTTTTTTTATCTTGATTTCATTTTTTCTTTCTTTTCTTGGAGAATGTAATTTTTTTTGAGTCAAGAGGGTTGTGGTGGTAGAAACTGTAAAGCACATTCGCTGTGTATCAATCCCAATCCAGTCTTCCCAGAGAAGATTCTAAACACCTCCTGGAATGCACCTGGGCCTATACCAATTCCTATCACTCACCGTCACTCCAGGGAGACAGAACACACAGAGAACACATTACACAGGCAGGTTCATTACTAACAGATAAGCAGCGAGTGACAACAGAAACCTACATTTCAATGTGAGCCAGTCCCTCAAGGCTCAGAAAAGCTGCTCGAGACATGTGGAGTCACCCCATATGCAGTGTATCTGGGGGAAATCAAAAAGCAGCCCAGCCTGGGTTTTGTACCCTGGAGCCACAGGAAGCACTCAGCTAAAGCACTGCATGACGTCCTCCTCCAGGAAGAACAGGAAGACAGCCCAGGCTGTTCTGGGATGTTCCTCCTGATCTCAGGACGTTGCTGTCTTAGTCCATTTTTGTTGCTCTAAAGGAACACTTGAGCCTGGGTAACTTCTAAAGAAAAGAAATGTGTTTGCCTCACAGTTCTGCAGGCTGTACTGGAAGCATGGCACCAGCATCTATTTCTTGTGACGGCCTCAGGCTGCTCCCACTCTGGCAGAAGGGAAGGAGGGTCTGTCTGTGCAGAGACCACAGAGATCACACGGCAAGAGAGGGACCAAGGGGGAGGGGGAGCGATGGAGCTTCCAAGCTCTTTTAACAACCAGTTCTCCAGGAACTAATAGAGGGGGAACTTGCTAACCCCGTCTCCTTGGAACAGCATTGATCTGTTCATGATGGATCCACCTCCATGACCCAAACAACTCCCAAGAGGCCCAACCTCCCACCCTGGGGGTTACATTTCAATGTGAGGTTTGAAGGGGTCAAACATCTAAACTAAAGCAGTTGTATCCTCAGCACGTTCTATGGTTACTACAACTGAGAAAGCAGGAGGAAGCTAGGTCTCCCGCCATCTGGGTGCTTGTCCTAAAGAGACGTTGTATGTGGTTACCTGTCAATCAAGAAATGTGAGACAATTCATATAGAGGAACTGCTATGATTAGCTTCTTATTGGTGTCTTGTCTTCCTCCAGGTAACTCCAGACACCTGCACGTTCTGATTGGGACCTCAGTGGTCATCATCCCCTTTGCTATCCTCCTCTTCTTTCTCCTTCATCGCTGGTGTGCCAACAAAAAGAGTAAGTCTCACGAAGCAGAAGCCAGAGAGCTCAGGGCCATGTGGGGAAGCAGGATGGGAGCACTCAGGTGTGTGTTCCTCACAGGCAGGATGGTCCCTGGCCCAAGGCAGGAGCCACAGAGGCAGGACTTTCTAGAGAGAGCACCAGACTCCCTGCCTCTGCCTTCAGCTCACAGACCATTGCCTGATTCTGAACCGTATCCTCACATCCCCTGCAGCCACTCACATCCAGGAGAAGGTTCCATGACAGGCAGAAAGTGGGACACAGAATCAATAGGATGGGAACTCAGAGCTATACATGGGATGGATCCTTGAGCTCAGAGAGATAGAATGTCTGAGTCTGCTGTTGGCAACTGAGGGACCTCAGGCACCTATGGCCTCCCCCTGTATGTTGGTATCTGCTTATGAAATGAGGACCCAGAAGTGCCCTCCGAGCTGTTTTGACGACTTCCGTCTTCTACAGATGCTGTTGTAATGGACCAAGAGCCTGCAGGGAACAGAACAGTGAACAGGGAGGTAGGTGCTCCTCCGCCCAGCCTCGTGGCTAGTCTTATTCCCAAAGAGTCCTGGAAAATGTGAGCACCCTCCCTCACTCAGCATTTCCCTCCCTCCAGGACTCTGATGAACAAGACCCTCAGGAGGTGACATACGCACAGTTGAATCACTGCGTTTTCACACAGAGAAAAATCACTCGCCCTTCTCAGAGGCCCAAGACACCCCCAACAGATACCAGCGTGTAACACGGAACTTCCAAATGCTGAGCGCAGATCCAAAGTTGTCTTCTGTCCACTAGCACCACAGTCAGGCCTTGATGGGATCTTCTAGGGAGACAATAGCCCTGTCTCAAAACCGGGTTGCCAGCTCCCATGTACCAGCAGCTGGACTCTGAAGGCGTGAGTCTGCATCTTAGGGCATCGCTCTTCCTCACACCACGAATCTGAACATGCCTCTCTCTTGCTTACAAATGTCTAAGGTCCCCACTGCCTGCTGGAGAGAAAACACACTTGCTTAGCCCACAATTCTCCATTTCACTTGACCCCTGCCCACCTCTCCAACCTAACTGGCTTACTTCCTAGTCTACTTGAGGCTGCGATCACACTGAGGAACTCACAATTCCAAACATATAAGAGGCTCCCTCTTAACACGGCACTTAGATACGTGCTATTCCACCTTTCCTCAGAGTATCTTTCAGCCTTCTGTCAGCAGTAAAACTTATAAATTTTTTTTATAATTTCAATGTAGTTTTCTCTTCTTCAAGTAAACATGTCTGCCCTCATGGTTTCGTCAATGGGACTCTTTTCTTGCCTAAGGCTTCCGGTGTTATCATTACCACGTCCACATAACCCCATCTGTTCTCCGCTGGGTTCTCACCCCTGGACTCTGAGCTTCTGGAAGCAGGGTGGAGCCTGAATTGTCTCTGAGACTCCAATTTCCATCCAAAGATGCAGCACATAGGAGGTTCCAAGGATGGTGAATCAGATGAACAAGTGATATTCTTACTCTCTGCAGATCTGGAAAGCTGGCAGAGTCATTCCACGATGAAACATTTGTAGAGTCATAGGCCTTGTTAGTCTCATCTCCACAGGGACACGTATCAACACATCATCTTTCATACTACTATAAATAGACAGTCACTCCTCCATATCTCTGGGGTTTACACATGTTTATTGAATCAGCAATAAATCAAAAATATTTTGAGAAAAAAAATCCCCGAAGTTTCAAAAAGCAAAAAACTATGTTGAATCGACACAAATTGAGTGGCGTGTAGGCTGTGTCAGGAATTATAAGTAATCAAGAGATGATTTCATGTATACAGGAGGATGTGCATGGGTTCTATGCAATTGCTATGCTATTTTTTTTTTTTTTGAGACAGTCTCACTCTCTCACCCAGGCTGGAGTGCAGTGGCGTGATCTCAACTCACTGCAACCTCCGCCTTCCAGGTTCAAGCGATTCTCTTCCCTCAGCCTCCCCAGTAGCCTCCCCTAGGATTACAGGCACGTGCCACCCTGCACAGATAAATTTTTTTGTGTGTATATTTTTAGTAGAGATGGGGTTTCAGAATGTTGGACCAGCTGGTCTTGAACTCCTGACCTTGTGATCTACCCAGCTCAGCCTCCCAAAGTGCTGGGATTACAGGCGTGAGCCACGGTGCCCAGCTTCACTATGCCATTTCATGCAAGGGGCTTGAGCATCTGCAGATTTTGGTATCTGAATGGGGATCCTGGAACCAATCACCCAGGTATAGTGAAGGACCATGGTATATAATTTTTATTTGTCAATCTTAAAAATAAAGCATAAAAAATTTACAACAACAAGATAAAAAATAAGAAGTGTTTTTATAGTGTGAGGATAAGTTTAGATTTATTTTTTCCTACGTGTAACCCTATGGTCCTGTGTTATTTGTTGAGAAAATATTCTATTCCACCTTAAACTACATGGCAGCCTTTGTCAACTATAAAGGGACTGTGTATCCACAGATGTATTTTAGACACAGTTTTCTGTCCAGTGGTTCTCTGTATCCCCTCTCATGAGGATGCTGCATTTTATATAAACTTATAGAACCCCTTAAAATTTGGTAACCTGAGTCCTCTGATTTGTTATTATAGGTTATTTAGTTTGCTTTTTTTTTTTTCTTGAGACAGACTCTTCCTCTGTCACCCAAGCTGGAGTTCAGTGGCTTGAGCTCAGCTCACTGCAACCTCCGTCTCCCAGGTTCAAGCTATTCTGATGCCTCTGGTTTAGTAGTAGAAACTCAAGCAGGAAAATTAGAATGGCTTCTTGTCACAATTACTCTGATAATGTTAATAATACCTGTTAGACATTTTGCACATTACATATGAAGAAGAGTTTGAATCTCAGATAAAAACAAAAATACATCAAAAATCTTTAATGTAAGCACAGAATTCAATCATCTCGTGTATGAGAGGTTGGATCTGAGACGTCTTTTGAGTCTGGTCGTAGTGAAGGACGCAAGGTGTCAATTCTAGTGAGAACAATTTCCAGGAAGCCATGTTCCGCTCTTGAGCGAGCACCCACTGGGCCTCATGCAAGGTAGAAAGAGCCTGCGTACGTCACCCTCCCATGATGTGGTCAACATGTAAACTGCATGGGCAGGGCGCCAAATAACATCCTGTGCGCTGCTGAGCTGAGCTGGGGCGCGGCCGCCTGTCTGCACAGACAGCACCATGTCGCTCATGGTCGTCAGCATGGTGTGTGTTGGTGAGTCCTGGAAGGGCATCGAGGGAGGGAGTGCGGGGATGGAGATCGGGGCCCAGAGTTGGAGATATAGGCCTGGAAGTGGAGTTATGGGCCTAGAGATGGAGTGATGGGCCTAGAAGTGGAGATCTGGGCCTGGAGTGGAGATCTGGGCCTGGAGTGGAGATATGGGCCTGGAGGTTGAGATATGGGCCTGCAGTAGAGATATGGGCTTGTAGTGGAGACATGGGCCTGGAGATGGAGATATGGGCCTGGAGATGGAGATATGGGCCTGCAGTAGAGATAGGGGCCTGGAGTGGAGATATGGGCCTGGAGTGGAGATATGGGCCTGGAGGTGGAGATATGGGCCTGGAGGTGGAGATATGGGCCTGGAGTGGAGATATGGGTCTGGAGGTGGAGATACGGGCCTGCAGTAGAGATATGGGCCTGGAGTGGAGATATGGGCCAGGAGTGGAGTTATGGGCCTAGAGATGGATATCTGGGCCTGGAGTGGAGATATGGGCCTAGGAAGGAGATATGGGCCTGGGTGTGGAGATATGGGACTGGAGAGGTGATATGGGCCTGGAGTGGAGATATGGGCTTAGGGTGGAGATCTGGGCCTGGGGCGGAGATATGGGACTGGATTGGAGATAGGGGCCTAGGGTGGAGATCTGAGCCTGGATTGGCGATATGGGCCTAGGGTGGAAATATCAGCCTGGAGTGGAGATATGGGCTTGGGGTGGGGATATGGGCCTGGAAACTGGGTCTCTGCACAGCCGACAGCCCTGTTCTTGGGTGCAGGTAGGCACTGAGGGTGAGTTTAACTTCAGCCCAGGAAGGGCCTGGCTGCCAAGACTCACAGCCCAGTGGGGGCAGCAAGGGAGGCCTGGTTTGCCTGCAGATGGATGGTCCATCATGATCTTTCTTTCCAGGGTTCTTCTTGCTGCAGGGGGCCTGGCCACATGAGGGTGAGTCCTTCTCCAAACCTTCGGGTGTCATCTCCCCACATAAGAGGATTTTCCTGAAACAGGAGGGAAGTCCTGTCGGGGAGTCTCTCATAAACTAGGAAGAGAGGACCCTGGGGTGCTCAGCCCACATTTCTGACCTCGCCTCCCTGGCCTCTCAACCCCTTGGCAGAGTCAAGTTCTGTGGGGACCAGGGTTAGACTGGGGTGCTCAAAGCTGGGGTGTGTGGTTGGGAAGTGGTAGGAACAGCAGATCCTCTGAGGACAAAGGTGTTACTCACACACTTCAGCGTTTCCATGATGGTAGGGGCTGCAGTGTGGCTGCTGTCATTCTACCAGAAGAGGTGGGAAACCACAGCCATGGCCCTGACATTCCAAATCCTCTGATGGGGGCTCAGTTGTTTATTTTCGTTCAGGCATCCGCTGATATCCATTCACAAAGGACATGCCCTCCACCTCATGTCTACCCTGTGTTGTTTTATGTGAGTAATCTTACAGTATTAAAATCTAGTAGGAGTCTCTTTACTCAGCACTTGCTCAAAGTTCTCAGCTGAGGCTTTTGTTGTAGGGAGACACCATGTCTTTGCGGGATGGGTCCTTCCTTCAGCCCTGGGCACCAAGGTGTGATAGTAGCCATAGAAACGTGGAAAGCGAGGAGAATCTTCTGAGCACAGGGAGGGAAGGGCAGTTCCACATCCTCCTCTCTAAGGCGGCGCCTCCTTCTCCCCAAGGTGGTCAGGACAAGCCCTTGCTGTCTGCCTGGCCCAGCCTTGTGGTGCCTCTAGGACATGTCATTCTTCGGTGTCACTCTTATCTTGGGTTTAACAACTTCAGTCTGTAAAAGGAAGGTGGGGTGCCTGTCCCTGAGCTCTACAACAGAATATTCTGGAACAGCCTTTTCATGGGCCCTGTGACCCCCGCACACACAGGGACATACAGATGTCGGGGTTCACACACACACTCCCCCAGTGGGTGGTCAGCACCCAGCAACCCCCTGGTGATCGTGGTCATAGGTCAGAGGGCTCCTGTCTTGGATTCTCCTTGTCCCACCTCCTGAATCCCAGAGCTTCTGTTGGGCATGTCCTTGAGGGTCCCATCACGCAGGCCCTGACTGTATTTGTGGTAAAGGGGGATTGAATACAGGGAAATGGGTGCTGTGGTGGGAAGAATAATTGTCCCCAGTGATGACTACATTCTAATCCCTGGAGTCTGTGACTATTTATGTTATAGGGGAAGGGACTGAAGGGGAAGATGGAGCTCATGGGGAGACAGCCTGGACTGTCCCACTGGGCTCAGTGTAATCACAAGGGTGCACATGAAAGGAGGAGGAAGAGGGGAGTGGGGATTAGAGCAGTCCAGTGGAAGTCTTCACCAGCTTTGAAGGTGGAGGAAGGCCAAGATCCATGAATGCAGGTGGCCTATAGAGGCTGGAAAAGTCAAGGAACTGATTCTCCAGAGTCTCCAGAGGGAACAAAGCCCTGCAGATGCCTTGATTTTAGCCCAGGAAAAATAGGGTCCAATTTCTGTCTCCAGTACTGGAAGGTGTCAGTGTGGTCTCTCCTGCTGCCATGCTTCTGATAATTTTCTACAGCAGCAACAGGAAACCAACACTGGAACCCAGGTCAAGGACAAGTTAAGAAACAACCCAAGGAAAGCCAGGCATGGTGGCAGGTGCATGTAATCCTAGCGACTCAGGAGGCTGAGGGCAGGAGAATCACTTGAACCCAGGAGACAGAGGTTGCAGTGAGCCTAGACCACACCACTTCACTCCAGCCTGGGTGAAGGAGTGAGACTCTGTCTCCATAATTAATTAATTAATTAAAGAAACCAAACAAGGAGAAGGTTGGCTACCCTGAGATCAGCAAGGGTGGGATGATGATGCCACCACCAGGCTCCATCCACATAGGGAGGGGTTGATACTCCTCCAACCAGCACCAGGAGCCAGCCTATGGAAGCTGGCACCATGGAGAAGGCACAGGCATGGCAAGAGTGGCTCCCAGTCCCCACCAGGAACAGGGTGTGTGGACACTGGTGCCTGCCTTATTCATCAGTTCATACCTTCTGCCAAGGATTGCAATTCATCCAAAAGAGATTGAACCAGGCTGATAAGAGCCTGGATGTGCAGCCTATCCTGGTTCCTCTTTCACCCCCACATAAACAGCAGGAAATACATTAGTGTGAAATAGATACAACACCCCAAGAGATGAGGCTCAGCCCAGTGGGAAGGGAATCAGAGGCTACTAGAGACAGAGGGACAGAGAAGAGGGAGGGAGACAGATGGAAGGACCTGCACCAGGAGTTAAGGGCACAGAAAAGAACATGAAGACACAGAGAGGAAGGAGAGAGACAGACACCAGCAAGGGGAAGCCTCACTCATTCTAGGTGCCATGGATGGGATGATAAAGAGAGACACCTTCTAAACTCACAACCTCTCTTCCTAGGAGTCCACAGAAAACCTTCCCTCCTGGCCCACCCAGGTCCCCTGGTGAAATCAGAAGAGACAGTCATCCTGCAATGTTGGTCAGATGTCAGGTTTCAGCACTTCCTTCTGCACAGAGAAGGGAAGTTTAAGGACACTTTGCACCTCATTGGAGAGCACCATGATGGGGTCTCCAAGGCCAACTTCTCCATCGGTCCCATGATGCAAGACCTTGCAGGGACCTACAGATGCTACGGTTCTGTTACTCACTCCCCCTATCAGTTGTCAGCTCCCAGTGACCCTCTGGACATCGTCATCACAGGTGAGAGTGTCCGGACATTCTCATTGTCATTGGGATGCAGAGTGAATGATCCACGACTTGGAACCCCCAGGTAGTTGTAAGGAAGATGAGCTTGGTATTCTTATGGAGAGAGACTGACTTGCTGAGGTTTGTACCAACAGAGACAGAGAAACAGGAGACACAAGTACAGACCAGGTGTCATAACAGAGGACAGACACAGGGGCCATACAGGGAGTTAGAAAAGACAGAAAGAGTTAAAAGAGACAGACAGACAGACATGTCCCAGAGAGAGGTGTCCCTCCATGCTGACTTTGCTCACAGACCTGGCACAGGTTAGAAGTTTCATTTCTGTTTTACCTCCACAAAGTGTTCTCTACCAGGAGAACCCAAGGACACCCATATTTATGACCTGAGTTGGGCCCTGTGGCCTCAGGCCTTGTGGCACCTACAGGCCATGTTTATTCTGACACCTCTGCCTTCCATGTAATGGAGAGTAATCGTCCCAGGATATCATGGCCCCAGAACACCAACCCCTGTATGCTGTGTGAACTTGTGGTCTCCAGACTGGATTCTGTGGCTCACATTCCAAATAACCCCACATATGAAAGGATCACTGAGAGGCACAGAGAAAAATCAGGAACACCAAAAAGCAAAGACATAAACACACAGAGAATGAGCCAGAGGAAGGAGATTGAGAGACTCACAGACACATAAAGAGAGAGAAAAGAGGGCAGAGGAGTGGTGAGAATGATGGCAGGGAGCAGAGAAAAGCACTAAAATTAGAGTCCTGAGAGAGAGGCACAAGGACATAGAAACATGGAGATGTGGGGATGAATTGCAGAGATTCCAAAGAGAACTAGAGAGACCGAGAGGCAGAGCAAGACAGATGATAGATGGATAGATATAGATAGATGATAAATAGGTAGATGATAGATAATAGGTTAAAGATACATAGATGATGATTGATTGATTCATTAATAGATAATACATAGAGATGATGATGATGAAGACAGATAATACGTACAGATAGAGAGGCAGACAGAAATCATAGAGAGAGAGATGATACATACATATAAATAACAGATGATTGATGGATAGATAGACAAGTGATAGATACATAGATGATATATAGATATAGATGACAGGTAGAGAATTTGTAGATAGGCACCGAATAGATAAATAGATAGATCGACAGATAATAGATAGAAATATGCAGAAAGTTATGAACAGGACACAACGTGAGAAACTTAGAATTTAAAAAAGTAACATCAAGTCAACCAATCCAAGGAGAGTCAGAGAGAATAAAAGAATCCAAAAAGGGAAAACATATCTAGAGGTGGGGAAGCGAGGTCAGAGACCTAGAGAGACAGAGAAGGTGGAAGAAGGAAATAGACATGAAGAGAGATGGGGTGGAGGGTGAGAGAGAGAGAGAGAGAGAGCATTAGGTCATAGAGCAGGGGAGTGAGTTCTCAGCTCAGGTGAAGGGAGCTGTGACAAGGAAGATCCTCCGTAAGGAAAATGCCTCTTCTCCTCCAGGTCTATATGAGAAACCTTCTCTCTCAGCCCAGCCGGGCCCCACGGTTCTGGCAGGAGAGAGCGTGACCTTGTCCTGCAGCTCCCGGAGCTCCTATGACATGTACCATCTATCCAGGGAGGGGGAGGCCCATGAACGTAGGTTCTCTGCAGGGCCCAAGGTCAACGGAACATTCCAGGCCGACTTTCCTCTGGGCCCTGCCACCCACGGAGGAACCTACAGATGCTTCGGCTCTTTCCGTGACTCTCCATACGAGTGGTCAAACTCGAGTGACCCACTGCTTGTTTCTGTCACAGGTGAGGAAACCCCATATCTGTCTCATGTCCTATGATCCTAGAGCCTTAGCTGAGGAGCTTCCTGCTGATGATGGAGAGAAGCATGGACAGATGCAGAGAGAAGACGAAGCTTGGGTGTGAGGGAGGGATCAGGGCACAGGATGGCAGACAGGGCACCTCCAAACCCTCCTACACGGCCTGCATGAAGGCCCGCGGCCAGGGCTCCAGGCACACAGGCAGATGGAGAAAACGGTCAGGAGAGACCCAGAGGAGAGAGACTGGGCTCAGTTTGGGAAGATCAGAGGTTCCCTCAGCCCCTCAACATTACCCATTTCCCAGAAGCCCATCCTGGCCTCTCACCCACACAGGGATGTCATCACCAGCAACCCCTACACCCTTTACTTTTGTTTGAAGAAATATTTATTGAGGATAAATATACCTATATAGCTTACCACCTTTAACATTTTTTTTTTTTTTGAGGCAGAGTCTAGCTCTGTCCCCTATGCTGGAGTGCAGTGGCACAATCTCAGCTCACTGCAACTTCCGCCTCCTGGGTTCAAGTGATTCTCCTGCTTCAGCCACCTGAGTAGCTGGTGCTACAGGCGCGCACCACCACGCCAGGCTACTTTTTGTATTTTTAGTAGAGAGGGGGTTTCACCATGTTGGTCGAGCTGGTCTCCAACTCCTGACCACGTGATCCACCCGCATCTGCCTCCCAAAGTGCTGGGATTACAGGCATGAGCCACCACGCCCAGCCACATTTACCATTTTTAAGTGTAAAGTCTAGTGGTCATAAATACATTTATATATATATATATATATATATATACACACACACACACATATATAAACATATATATATATATATATATATATATATATATATATATATATTTTTTTTTTTTTTTTTTTTTACCCTCCACCCTTTTATTCCTGGCCTCTGGAAGCCACCATTCTACTCTCTACCTTCATGAGATCCACCTTTTAGCTCTGTATATGGGTGAGAAATGGGAATCTTTGTAATGACTTCCAGTTCCATCCATGTGGCTGCAAATATCAGGATGTTATTCTTTCTATGGATGAGTAGTCTCCACTGTGCGTATGTACTACATTCTCTCTATCCATTCATCCACTGATGGGCAGGTAGGTTGACTCCACATCTTGGCTACTGTGAACAGTGCTGCACCAATCATACGAGTGCAGATATCACTTCGATATATTGATTTACTTTCCTTTGGATATAAACCCAGTAGTGAAATTGCTGGATACTATGAAAGTTCTCTTTTTAGTTATTCGTTTGTTGTTTTGTTTTTGTTTTTGAGACAGTTTCCCTCTGTGCCCAGGCTGGAGTACAAGTGAAGTCATCTTGGCTCATTGCAACCTCCGCCTCCTGGGTTCAAATGATTTTCCTGCCTCAGCCTCCCTAGTAGCTGGGATTACAGGTGCACGCCACCATGCCTGGCTACTTTTTGTTTTTTTTAGTATAGATGGGGTTTCCCCATGTTGGCTGGGCTGCTCTCAAACTCATGACCTCAACTGAGGTGCCCGCCTCGGTCTCCCAAAGTGCCGGGATTACAGGCATGATCCACCTCACCCAACCTCTTTTTAGTTCTTTAAAGGACTTCCACACTTTTCTCCGTAAAGGCTGTACTAATTTACACTCCTACCAACAGGGTATTAGGGTTCTCCTTTCTCTACCACTTTGGCAGGATTTCCTTTGCCTGTCTTGCAGCTAAAAGCCATTTTATTTTATTTCATTTTATTTTGAGATGGAGTTTCGCTCTTGTCACCCAGGCTGGAGTGCAGTGGTGCGATCTCGGCTCACCACAACCTCCACCTCCCAGGTTCAAGCGATTCTCCTGCCTCAGCCTCCCGAGTAGCTGGAATTACAGGCACACGCCACCACGCCCAACTAAATTTTGTATTTTTAGTAGAGACAGTGTTTCTTCATGTGGGTCAGACTGGTCTCAAACTCCCGACCTTATGAGGTTCACCCACCTCAGGCTCTCAAAGGTCTAGGATGACAGACGTGAGCCACCACGCCCGGCCTAAAATCCATTTTAATGGGGTGAGATGAAAACTCACTTTGATTTTAATTTGTGTTTCTCTGATGATGAGTGAAACTGAGCACTTTTTAGTATGTGGGGAAATTTCATGTGTTTTGCTCCTTTTTCAATTAAATCGTTTGTTTTATTGAGTTGTTTGAGCTTCTTATATTTCTAGTTATTAATCCCATCTCAGATGCATAGTTTGCACATATTTGCTCCCAATCTGTGGGTTGTCTCTTCACTTTGTTGGTTTATTTTTAGCGGTGCAGAAGTTGCTTAGTTTGAGGTAATCCCAATGGTCTATTTTTGCTTCGATTACTTGTGTTTTGAAGGTTTAAAACAAAATGTCTTCCTTCAGACAAATGTCCTGGAGCATTTCCCCAATATTTTCTTCTACGTGTTTCATAGGTTCAGGCCTTAGACTCACATCTTTAATCCATTTTCATTTGAGTTTTGTGTATAGTGACAGGTAGAGGTGCAGTTTCATTCCTCTGCATGTAGATGTCCAGGTTTCCCTGCACTGTTTATTGAAAAGACTGTCCTTTCCTGATTGTGAGTTCTTGGCACCTTTGTCAAAGTCCATTGGATGGGCTGGGCATGGTGGCTGACACCTGCAATTTCAGCACTTTGGGAGCCCAAGGCGGGTGGATCACCTGAGGCCAGGAGTTCAAGATTAGTCTGGCCGACGTGATGAAACATTGTCTCCACTAAAAATATAAAAATTAGCTGAGCATGGTGGTCAGCACCTGTAATACCACTACTCAGGAGTTTGAGGCCAGAGAATTGATTGAACCCAGGAGGCTGTGGTGGCAGTGAACCGAGATTGCACCTCTGCACTCCAGCCTGGGTGACAGAGCGAGACTCCATCTCAAAAGAAAAAAGAAAAAAACATTGGAGGTAAATGCATGGATTATATCTGTGTTCTTCATTCTGCTCCATTGTTCTACGTGCCTTTCTTTATGCCAATGTGATGCTGTTTTGCTTACTACAGCTCTGTAACATATTTTGAGATCAGGTAGTGTGATGCTCCTGTTTTCTCTTTATACCTTGAAGTCTCAAGACAGTGGGCGTCACATACAAAAATTACGGAAAAAAGGATCCCAGGACTCCCAGGGCCCAATATTAGATAACAGAGTGTTGGCCATGAACCAACCTCAAAGATTTCCATTGAGTAGAGGACAGACACCCTCATTTCCTCACCTCTCTCCTGTCTCGTGTTCTAGGAAACCCTTCAAATAGTTGGCCTTCACCCACTGAACCAAGCTCCGAAACCGGTGAGTACAGAACCCTCTTATATCCGCTTTTGGAAACCTGGGGAGGTAGAAACCTTCGATGCAGGCATTGACTCAGCATCTCGCAGCTCTGACATTGTACGCCTGTCTTCTACCATCTCCGAACTCCAGATACTCCAACAGCGAAAGGGATCTGGGCCCAACCTAGGGCTCAGTGAAATCTCTTAATCTCTCATTTTATGGAGCTGAGACCTCCTACAAGCTAGAAGAATGATTGCCAATCTGACATCCTTCTCAGGAAAAATGCAATGTTTGTTCTGCCTGCATTCCTAACTGGAGGATAAATTCCTGGGGGCTTGAGAGAGGGAAGGGAAGGGAACATCTGATGAGGGCGAGGTGTTTTAGAGAAGTTCCACTTGCCAAGGAATGAATTACTGTTGGTCATGAAGCAACCCTGGCTGACTCAGCAGAGCAACAGCCTTGCCGTAACAGAGAACGGAGCTCATGCACGCACACTTCGACTCACTGACTCATTCAGCCACGGCCCCATGCTCAGGCTGTGCAGTGCGGAACCTTTTCCTATTGTTGCCATAACAAATTTCCACAAGATTCGTGGGTGAAAACAAAACGGTTTTTTAATTATCTTACAGTGCTGTAGCTCAAAGTAGGAAGTGCATCTTACTGGGCTAAAATCAAGGTGACAGCAAGGCTGCCTTCCCTCTGAGGATTCCAGGCAAGAATCTGCTTCTCACTTATCCCAGCTTCTAAAGGCTCCCAGTTCCTTGGCTCCTGTTCCCCTTCCTCCTTCCTCAAAGCCCACAAAGACTGGTCACATCTCACATGGCATCACTCAGTGCCTTCTTCCTTACCACACCTCTTTCTCTGAATGCTGCTCTCCCTTCTTCCTTATCTTTTGAAAACTTGGGGATTCTATTGGGTTCACCAAGATGAAAATCCCTCATAATCTCC
This sequence comes from Homo sapiens, assembly GCF_000001405.40. NCBI lineage: Eukaryota > Metazoa > Chordata > Mammalia > Primates > Hominidae > Homo > Homo sapiens. Next base: position 652,647 of record NW_003571060.1, read on the forward strand.
TGGAAATCATCCAGGATACCCTTGTTTTAAGTTCAGCTGATTAGCAACCGCAATTCCATCTACAATCTTCATTCCTCCTTTCCATGTAAAATAACATATTCACAAGCTATGGAGGCTAGGACAGGGACATTTTGGGGTGGGACAGCATTCTCCTGCCTTCCACAAACGGTGAACAAGATGCATTTGGCTTCTGCCCTTGGGACACTGATATTGCAGATGGTTAAATGGGAGGGCAGAAAATGAATGCACAAGTGGATCTATAAATGAATGATCCATTGGGAAGCATCTGTGCATGAAATCTATTTTTTGTTTGTTCTTTTGTTTATTGAGACAGAGTCGCCCTCTGTCTTCCAGGCTACAGTGCAGTGTCACGATCTTGGCTCACTGCAACCTGCGTCTCCTGGATTCAAGTGATTCTCCTGCCTCCGCCTCTCGAGTAGCTGGGATTACAGGCAACTGCCACCGTGCCCGGCTAATTCTTTTTGTATATTTTTTGTAGAGAGGATGTTTCACCACGTTGGCCAAGCTTGTCTGAAACTCCCAACCTCAAGTGATCCGACCGTCTCAGCATGCCAAAGTAATGGGACTACAGGCGTGAGCCACTGTGCCCAGCCAGAATTCAAAATCAATAATAGATAATGCTGAGTGTATGATTTCAGGTGACAAAGAAGGTCTCACTATTCAGATATTTGTGACATTAATGAAAAACACGGATTGAACCCCTGAAAGATTGGCGGAAGGATTTTGCACACACAGCTGTCAGCCGTGAAGGCACAAAGGTGAAAACAATCTGATGTGGAAGGAAGAGGCTCTGCCTCAAATGCTGGGAATGATGTGGGGAGAATGACAAGACGACTGTAGAGAGACGGAGAGCACACTGGGTACACAGGAAACTAAGGAGCAACAAGGAGTGTGTGTTTGACACTCACAGCCATTGGATTCACCTCGGGGTAACCAGGAATCCCTACATGATTAATATGACTGACATGAAAATAAGGGAGGCTCAGTTGCATAACTGGAATCTAGGAGACCGTGGAAAAGGCAATTGCCACCCCACTGGTGAAATGTGGTGCTGATTTAGACACTAAATGAATGAAGTAGATGGATATAAGATATGTTTGTGAGGTAGAATCATTGACTGGAAACGCTTACTGGGTTTGATTTTCCTACTTGTTTAATCCTCGCTTAATTAATTTCTTTCTGAGATTTATTCATCCTACACATAAATCAATACCTGGCAAAGGAGTGACAGATATATGAGTGGTGGTGGAAATGAAGAGACTTATTATAGCATAATATACAAGTCTGTGAACAGTGGCTCACGCCTGTAACCTAGCACTGCAGGAGGCCAAGGTGGGTGGATTCCATGAAGTCAGGAGTTCCAGACCAGCCTGGCCAACGTGGTGAAACCCTATCTCTACTAAAAATACAAAAATTAGCCGAGCACGATGGTGCATCCCTGTAATCCCAGCTCCTATTCTGGAGGATGAAGCAGGAGAATGACTTCAACCCAGTAGGTGGAGGTTGCAGTGAGTGGAGATTGCATCACTGCACTCCAGCCTGGGGGACACAAGGAGACTCTATCTCAAAAAATAAAAATAAGAAATACATAAATATAATAAAACACACACGAATGACAAAGGCACCTGAATTCCAATCATCGTTTTTCTATTTCTCTATAATTACTTCTTTGATCCTTTATCTTATCCATTAGGCAATGAGCTTAAAACCTCTTCCCTATTTGGCTTTCTGTGAGAATGAGATCACATAGAAAATGTGAAAGCCCTCAGAATCCTCCAGCACAGATCGTGGAATAGAGAAAGTGCTCTGTTCATCGCAACAAAAAACTTGCCCACTCACCCAAATCCCCCACCTCACCCCTACTTCCAATCACCTGTGGAGATTCAGATAGGCTATGGGGAGGTAAACATTGATACTCCTTGGAGTGAGTCCAGATCTTGGAATCAGAGATCAGTGCCAGCACTAGCTCCTGCTCCCCTTTCCTACTAATTCACAGGAGGACAGGTGGTATTGAAGCAATAGATGGCCGAGGGGGTGGTCCTTCCCCCAGCCTCTCGGGTAGAACAGCAGCCTAACATGTGTCTCCCGAGATCACAAAGAGTAGCACGTTTCACACGGGCTTCAACACTATTTCCTGGCCATTTGACATAAGAGAATTCTACTTAGCTTTTTTTATCTTGATTTCACTTTTGTTTCCTTTTCTTGGAGAATGCAAGTTGTTTGATTCAAGAATGCTGTGGATGTAGAAATCCTAAAGCACATTCGCTGTGTATCAATCCCAGTGCAGTCTTCCCAGAGAAGACTCTAAATACCTCCTGGACTGCACCTGGGCTTATGCCAATTCCTATCACTCACCGTCACTCCAGGGAGACAGAACACACAGAGAATACATTACACAGGCAGGTTCATTACTAACAGATAAGCAGCGAGTGACAACAGAAACCTACATTTCAATGTGAGCCAGTCCCTCAAGGCTCAGAAAAGCTACTCGGGACATATGGAGTCACCCCATTTGCAGTGTAGCTGGGGGAAGCCAGAGAGCAGCCCAGCCTGGGTTTTGTACTGTGGAGCCACAGGAAGCACTCAGCTAAAGCACTGCATGACGTCCTCCTCCAGGAAGAACAGGAAGACAGCCCAGGCTGTTCTGAGACGTTCCTCCTGATCTCAGGACGTTGCTGTCTTAGTCCATTTTTGTTGCTCTAAAGGAACACTTGAGCCTGGGTAACTTCTAGAGAAAAGAGATTGGTTTGCCTCACAGTTCTGCAGGCTGTACTGGAAGCGTGGCACCAGCATCTATTTCTCGTGACGGCCTCAGGCTGCTCCCACTCTGGCAGAAGGGAAGGAGGGTCTGTCTGTGCAGAGACCACAGAGATCACACGGCAAGAGAGGGAGCAAGGGGGAGGGGGAGCGATGGAGCTTCCAAGCTCTTTTGAACAACCAGCTCTCCAGGAACTAATAGAAGGGGAACTTGCTAACCCCGTCTCCTTGGGACAGCATTGGTCTGTTCATGATGGATCCACCTCCATGACCCAAACACCTCTCAAGAGGCCCAACCTCCCACAGTGGGGGTGAAATTTCAATGTGAGGTTTGAAGGGGTCAAACATCTCAACTAAAGTAGTTGTATCCTCAACACGTTCTATGGTTACTATGAGAGCTATAACTGAGAAAGCAGGAGAAAGCTGGGTCTCCCTCCATCTGGGTGCTTGTCCTAAAGGGGTGTTGTATGTGGTTACCTGTCAATCAAGAAATGTGAGACAATTCATAAAGAGGAACTGCTATGATTAGCTTCTTATTGGTGTCTCCTCTTCTTCCAGGTAACCCCAGACACCTGCATGTTCTGATTGGGACCTCAGTGGTCATCATCCTCTTCATCCTCCTCCTCTTCTTTCTCCTTCATCGCTGGTGCTGCAACAAAAAAAGTAAGTCTCACGAAGCAGAGGCCAGAGAGCTCAGGGCCATGTGGGGAAGCAGGATGGGAGCACTCAGGTGTGTGTTCCTCACAGACAGGATGGTCCCTGGCCCAAGGCAGCAGCCACAGAGGGAGGACTTTCTAGAGAGAGCACCAGACTCCCTGTCCCTGCCTTCAGCTCACAGACCATTGCCTGATTCTGAACTGTATCCTCATGTCCCCTGCAGCCACTCACATCCAGGAGAAGGTTCCATGACAGGCAGAAAGTGGGAGACAGAATCAATGGGATGGGAACTCAGAGCTATTCATGGGATGGGTCCTTGAGCTCAGAGAGATAGAATGTCTGAGTCTGCTGTTGGCAACTGAGGGACCTCAGGCTCCTATGGTCTCCCCCTGTATGTTGGTATCTGCTTATGAAATGAGGGCCCAGAAGTGCCCTCTGAGCTGTTTTGTTGACTTCCGTCTTCTACAGATGCTGTTGTAATGGACCAAGAGCCTGCAGGGAACAGAACAGTGAACAGGGAGGTAGGTGCTCCTCGGCCCAGCCTCGTGGCTAGTGTTATTCCCAAAGAGTCCTGGAAAATGTGAGCACCCTCCCTCACTCAGCATTTCCCTCTCTCCAGGACTCTGATGAACAAGACCCTCAGGAGGTGACATATGCACAGTTGAATCACTGCGTTTTCACACAGAGAAAAATCACTCGCCCTTCTCAGAGGCCCAAGACACCCCCAACAGATATCATCGTGTACACGGAACTTCCAAATGCTGAGCCCTGATCCAAAGTTGTCTCCTGCCCATGAGCACCACAGTCAGGCCTTGAGGGGATCTTCTAGGGAGACAACAGCCCTGTCTCAAAACTGGGTTGCCAGCTCCAATGTACCAGCAGCTGGAATCTGAAGGCGTGAGTCTGCATCTTAGGGCATCGCTCTTCCTCACACCACAAATCTGAACGTGCCTCTCCCTTGCTTACAAATGTCTAAGGTCCCCACTGCCTGCTGGAGAGAAAACACACTCCTTTGCTTAGCCCACAATTCTCCATTTCACTTGACCCCTGCCCACCTCTCCAACCTAACTGGCTTACTTCCTAGTCTACTTGAGGCTGCAATCACACTGAGGAACTCACAATTCCAAACATACAAGAGGCTCCCTCTTAACACGGCACTTAGACACGTGCTGTTCCACCTTCCCTCATGCTGTTCCACCTCCCCTCAGACTAGCTTTCAGCCTTCTGTCAGCAGTAAAACTTATATATTTTTTAAAATAATTTCAATGTAGTTTTCCCTCCTTCAAATAAACATGTCTGCCCTCATGGTTTAGGTAATGGGACTCTTTTCTTGCCTAAGGCTTCCGGTGTTATCAGTACCATGTCCATATAATCCCATCTGTTCTCCACCGGGTTCTCACCTCTGGACTCTGAGCTTCTGGAAGCAGTGTGGAGCCTCATTTGTCTCTGGGACTCCAATTTCCATCCAAAGATGCAGCACATAGGAGGTTCCAAGGATCGGGAATCACATGAACAAGTGACATTGTTACTCTCTGCAGACCTGGAAAGCTGGCAGAGTCATTCCACGATGAAACATTTGTAGAGTCATAGGCCTTGTTAGTCTCATCTCCATGGGGACACATATCAACACATCATCTTTCATACTATAAATATACGGTCACTCCTCCGTATCTGTGGGGTTTACAGGTCTTTATTGAACAAAGTATAAATCAAAAATATTCAGAGAAAATATCCACAGAGTTCCAAAACTCATAACTATGTTGAATGGACACAAATGAAGCTGTGTGTAGGCTGTATCAGGAATTATAAGTAATCAAGAGATGATTTCATGTATACAGGAGGATGTGCATATGTTATTTGCAAGCGCTGTGCCATTTCATATAAGAGGCTTGAGCATCTACAGATTTTGGTATCTGAGTGGAGATCTCGAAACCAATCACCCACGAATAGTGAAGGATGACCGTATATGACTTTTATTTCTCAAATTTAAATATAAATCAAAAAATGTACAACTAGATAAAAACTAAGAAGTGTTTTTATAGTGTGAGTTAGATTTATTTTTTACTAGGTGTAACCCATTGGTTTAATATTATTTATTGAGAAGACATTCTATGCCACCTTAAACCACACGGCAGCCTTTGTCAACTCTAAAGGGACTGTGTGTACATGGATGTATTTTAGACAGTTTCTGCTAAGGGGCTGTCTGTGTCCACACACTTGATGATGCTACACTTTATGTAGCCTTATAGAACCCTTTAAATTTAGTAGCCAGAGCCCTCTAATTTGTTATTATAGGCTATTTGCTTTTTTTTTTCTTGAGGCGGAGTCTTGCTCTGTCGCCCAGGCTGGACTGCAGTGACACAATCTCAGCTCACTGCAACCTCCGCCTCCCAGGTTCAAGCGATTCTCGTGCCTCAGCCTCTTGAGTAGCTGGCGTTACAGGTGCCTGCCACCAGGCATGGCTAATTTTTGGATTTTTAGCAGAGACACGGTTTCACTATGTTGGCCAGGCTGCTCTCAATCCCCTCATCTCAGTTGATCCGCCCACCTCGGCTTCCCGACGTGCTGGGGAAACTTGATTTTCTATAGCATTATGTTACTGGATATTTCTGTAAAATTTAAAATGAGGGAGGCAGAGAGACAGAGAGAGATCAAACTCCAGAGTTGGGACTCTGGAATCTTGGGTCATGAGACAAATTTTAGATTAAACTACAAAACTCCAGAATTTACAGGTGTGGTTTTTGCTGATAAAGTACAATTCTAAGATTGTAAATAATTGCATAATCCTTCCCTGGGAATTTAAATCATTTTAACTGGTTCTGCTGTAATACTAGAAATACAAGCATGAAAAATTCTAATGGTTTATTAGTCACAATGACTCTGAAAACCTTAATAATACCTATTAAATATTTTGCATATTACACATGAAGAAGAGTTTGAATCTCAGATAAAAACAATAAAAATACATGAAAAGTCTTTCACGTTAGCACAGATTTTAGGCATCTCGTGTTCAGGAGGTTGGATCTGAGACGTGTTTTGAGTTGGTCATAGTGAAGGACGCTAGGTGTAAATTCTAGTGAGAACAATTTCCAGGAAGCCGTGTTCCGCTCTTGAGCGAGCACCCACTGGGCCTCATGCAAGGTAGAATGAGCCTGCGTACGTCACCCTCCCATGATGTGGTCAACATGTAAACTGCATGGGCAGGGCGCCAAATAACATCCTGTGCGCTGCTGAGCTGAGCTGGGGCACGGCCGCCTGTCTGCACCGGCAGCACCATGTCGCTCACGGTCGTCAGCATGGCGTGTGTTGGTGAGTCCTGGAAGGGAATAGAGGAAGGGAGTGTGGGGTTGGAGATCTGGGCCCAGAGGTGGAGATATAGGCCTGGAGGTGGAGTTGTGGGCCTGGAGTGGAGATCTGGGCCTGGAGTGGATATATGGGCCTAGAGATGGAGTGATGGGCCTAGAAGTGGAGATCTGGGCCTGGAGTGCCGATAGGAACCTGGAGGGGAGATAGGAGCCTGGAGTGGAGATATGGGCCTGGAGGTGGAGTTATAGGCCTATAGTAGAGATATGGGCCTGGAGTGGAGATTTGGGCCAGGAGTGGAGATATGGGCCTAGAGGTGGATATCTGGGCCTAGAGTGGAAATATGGGCCTAGGATGGAGATATGGGCCTGGTTGTGGAGATATGGGACTGGAGAGGAGATATGGGCCTAGAGTGGAGATATGGGCTTGGGGTGGAGATCTGGGCCTGGGGTGGAGATATGGGCCTGGAGGTGGAGTTACGGGCCTTCAGTAGAGATATGGGCCTGGGGTGGAGATATGGGCTTGGGGTGGAGATCTGGGCCTGGAGTGGAGATATGGGCCTGGAGGTGGAGTTACTGGCCTTCAGTAGAGATATGGGCCTGGTGTGGAGATATGGGCCTGGATTGGAGATATGGGCCTAGGTTGGAGATCTGAGCCTGGAGTGGAGATATGGGCCTGGATTGGAGATATGGGCTTACAGTGGAGATCTTGGCCTGGATTGGCGATATGGGCCTGGATTGGCGATATGGGCCTATGATGGAAATATCGGCCTGGAGTGGAGATATGGGCCTGGAGTGGAGATACAGGCCTAGGGTGGAAATATTGGCCTGGAGTGGAGATATGGGCTTGTGGTGGGGATATGGGCTTGTGGTGGGGATCTGGGCTTGGAGGCTGGGTCTCTGCACAGCCGACAGCCCTGTTCTTGGGTGCAGGTAGGCACTGAGGGTGAGTTTAACTTCAGTCCAGGAAGGGCCTGCCTACCAAGACTCACAGCCCAGTGAGGGCAGCAAGGGAGGGCTGGTTTGCCTGCAGATGGATCGTCCATCATGATCTTTCTTTCCAGGGTTCTTCTTGCTGCAGGGGGCCTGGCCACATGAGGGTGAGTCCTTCTCCAAACCTTAGGGTGTCATCTCCCCACATAAGAGGATTTTCCTGAAACAGGAGGGAAGTCCTGTCAGGGAGCCTCTCATAAACTAGGAAGAGGGGACCCTGGGGTGCTCGGCCCACAGTTCCGACCTCGCCTCCCTGGCCTTTCATTCCCTTGGCAGAGTCAAGTTCTGTGGGGACCAGGGTTAGACTGGGGTGCTCAAAGCTGGGGTGCGTGGTGGGGAAGTGGTAGGAACAGCAGATCCTCTGAGGACAAAGGTGTTACTCACACTTCAGCGTTTCCATGACGGTAGGGGCTGCAGTGTGGCTGCTGTCACTCCACCAGAAGAGGTGGGAAACCACAGCCATGGCCCTGACATTCCAAATCCTCTGATGGGGGCTCAGTTGCTTATTTTCATTCAGGCATCTGCTGATATTCCATTCTCAAAGACATGCCCTCCACCCCATGTCTACCCTGTGTTGTTTTATGTGAGTAATCTTACAGTATTAAAATCTAGTAGGAGTCTCTTACTCAGCACTTGCTCAAAGTTCTCAGCTGACACTTTTGTTGTAGGGAGACACCTTGTGTTTGCGGGATGGGTCCTTCCTTTAGCCCTGGGCACCAAGGTGTGATAGCAGCCATAGAAACTTGGAAAGCGAGGAGAATCTTCAGAGCACAGGGAGGGAGGGGTGGCTCCACATCCTCCTCTCTAAGGCGGTGCCTCCTTCTCCCCAAGGTGGTCAGGACAAGCCCTTGCTGTCTGCCTGGCCCAGCTCTGTGGTGCCTCCAGGACATGTGATTCTTCGGTGTCATTCTTATCTTGGGTTTAACAACTTCAGTCTGTAAAAGGAAGATGGGGTGCCTGGCACTGAGCTCTACAACAGAATATTCTGGAAGAGCCTTTTCATGGGCCCTGTGACCCCAGCACACACAGGGACGTACAGATGTCGGGGTTCACACCCACACTACCCCAGTGGGTGGTCGGCACCCAGCAACACCCTGGTGATCATGGCCACAGGTCAGAGGGCTCCTGTCTTGGATTCTCCTTTCCCACCTCCTGAATCCCAGAGCTTCTGGTGGGCGTGTCCTTGAGGGTCCCATCACCCAGGCCCTGACTATATTTGGGGTAAAGGGGGATTGAATACAGGGAAATGGGTGCTGTGGTGGGAAGAATAATTGTCCCCAGTGATGACTACATTCTAATCCCTGGAGTCTGTGACTATTTATGTTATAGGGGAAGGAACTGAAGGGGAAGATGGAGCTCAGGTTGTTGATGAGTTGACCTTGAGATGGGGAGACAGCCTGGACTGTCCCGCTGGGCTCAGTGTAATCACAAGGGTCCACATGAAAGGAGGAGGAAGAGGGGAGTGGGGATTAGAGCAGCGCAATGGGAGACTCCACCAGCTTTGAAGGTGGAGGAAGGCCAGGAGCCATGAATGCAGGTGGCCTGTAGAGGTTGGAAAAGTCAAGGAAATGATTCTCCAGAGTCTCCAGAGGGAACGAAGCCCTGCAGATGCCTTGATTTTAGCCCAGGAAAAACAGGGTCCTATTTCTGTCTCCAGTAGTGAAATGGGTCAGTGTGCTCTCTCCTGCTGCCATGCTTCTGATAATTTTCTACAGCAGCAACAGGAAACCAACACTGGAACCCAGGTCAAGGACAAGGTAAGAAACAACACAAGGATAGCCGGGTGTGGTGGCAGGCGCATGTAATCCTAGCGACTTGGGAGGCTGAGGGCAGGAGAATCACTTGAACCCAGGAGACAGAGGTTGCAGTGACCCTAGACCACACCACTTCACTCCAGCTGGGGTGAAGGAGTGAGACTCTGTCTCCATAATTAATTAATTAATTAAAGGAACCAAACAAGGGGAAGGTTGGCTACACCGAGATGAGCAAGTGTGGGATGATGATGCCACCACCAGGCTCCATCCACATAGGGAGGGGTTGATACTCCTCAAACCAGCACCAGGAGCCAGCCTATGGAAGCTGGCACCATGGAGAAGGCACAGGCATGGCAAGAGTGGCTCCCAGTCCCGACCAGGAACAGGGTGTGTGGACACTGGTGCCTGCCTTATTCATCAGTTCATACCTACTGCCAAGGATTCCAATTCATCCAAAAGAGATTGAACCAGGCTGATAAGAGGCTGGATGTGCAGCCTATCCTGGTTCCTCTTTCACCCCCACATAAACAGCAGGAAAGACATTAGTGTGAAATAGATACAACACCCCAAGAGATGAGGCTAAGCCCAGTGGGAAGGGAATCAGAGGCGACTAGAGACAGAGGGACAGAGAAGAGGGAGGGAGACAGATGGAAGGACCTGCACCAGGAGTTATGGGCACAGAAAAGAACATGAAGACACAGAGAGGAAGGAGAGAGACAGACACCAGCAAGGGGAAGCCTCACTCATTCTAGGTGCCATGGATGGGATGATAAAGAGAGACACCTTCTAAACTCACAACCTCTCTTCCTAGGAGTCCACAGAAAACCTTCCCTCCTGGCCCACCCAGGTCCCCTGGTGAAATCAGAAGAGACAGTCATCCTGCAATGTTGGTCAGATGTCAGGTTTCAGCACTTCCTTCTGCACAGAGAAGGGAAGTTTAACGACACTTTGCACCTCACTGGAGAGCACCATGATGGGGTTTCCAAGGCCAACTTCTCCATCGGTCCCATGATGGAAGACCTGGCAGGGACCTACAGATGCTACGGTTCTGTTACTCACTCCCCCATCAGTTGTCAGCTCCCAGTGACCCTCTGGACATCGTCATCACAGGTGAGAGTGTCCGGACATTCTTCTCATTGTCATTGGGATGCAGAGTGAATGATCCACGACTTGGAACCCCCAGGTAGTTGTAAGGAAGATGAGCTTGGTATTCTTATGGAGAGAGACTGACTTGGTGAGGTCTGTACCAACAGAGACAGAGAAACAGGAGACACAAGTACAGACCAGGTGTCATAACAGAGGACAGACACAGGGGCCATACCGGGAGTTAGAAAAGACAGAAGGAGTTAAAGGAGACAGACAGACAGACATGTCCCAGAGAGAGGTGTCCCTCCATGCTGACTTTGCTCAGAGACCTGGCACAGGTTAGAAGTTTCATTTCTGTTTTACCTCCACAAAGTGTTCTCTACCAGGAGAACCCAAGGACACCCATATTTCTGACCTGAGTTGGGCCCTGTGGCCTCAGGCCTTGTGGCACCTACAGATGCCGTGTTTATTCTGACACCTCTGCCTTCCATGTAATGGAGAGTAACCGTCCCAGGATATCATGGCCCCAGAACACCAACTCCTGTATGCTGTGTGAACTTGTGGTCTCCAGACTGGATTCTGAGGCTCACATTCCAAATAACCCCACATATGAAAGGATCACTGAGAGGCACAGAGAGAAATCAGGGACACCAAAAAGCAAAGACATAAACACACAGAGAATGAGCCAGAGGAAGGAGATTGAGAGACTCACAGACACATAAAGAGAGAGAAAAGAGGGCAGAGGAGTGGTGAGAATGATGGAAGGGAGCAGAGAAAAGCACTAAAATTAGACTCCTGAGGGAGAGGCACAAGGACATAGAAAGATGGAGATGTGGGGATGAATTGCAGAGATTCCAAAGAGAACTAGAGAGACCGAGAGGCAGAGCAAGACAGATGATAGATGGATAGATATAGATAGATGATAAATAGGTAGATGATAGATAATAGGTTAAAGATACATAGATGATGATTGATTGATTCATTAATAGATGAGACATAGAGATGATGATGATGAAGACAGATAGATAATACATAGAGATAGAGAGGCAGACAGAAGTCATAGAGAGAGAGATGATACATAGATATAGATAACAGATGATTGATGGATAGATAGACAAGTGATAGATACATAGATGATATATAGATATAGATGACAGGTAGAGAATTTGTAGATAGGCACCGAATAGATAAATAGATAGATCGATAGATAATAGATAGAAATATGCAGAAAGTTATGAACAGGACACAAAGTGAGAAACTTAGAATTTAAAAAAGTAACATCAAGTCAACCAATCCAAGGAGAGTCAGAGAGAATAAAACAATCCAAAAAGGGAAAACATATCTAGAGGTGTGGAAGCGAGGTCAGAGACCTAGAGAGACAGAGAAGGTGGAAGGAGGAAATAGACATGAAGAGAGATGGGGTGGAGGGTGAGAGAGAGAGAGAGAGAGAGCATTAGGTCATAGAGCAGGGGAGTGAGTTCTCAGCTCAGGTGAAGGGAGCTGTGACAAGGAAGATCCTCCGTAAGGAAAATGCCTCTTCTCCTTCCAGGTCTATATGAGAAACCTTCTCTCTCAGCCCAGCCGGGCCCCACGGTTCTGGCAGGAGAGAGCGTGACCTTGTCCTGCAGCTCCCGGAGCTCCTATGACATGTACCATCTATCCAGGGAGGGGGAGGCCCATGAACGTAGGTTCTCTGCAGGGCCCAAGGTCAACGGAACATTCCAGGCTGACTTTCCTCTGGGCCCTGCCACCCACGGAGGAACCTACAGATGCTTCGGCTCTTTCCGTGACTCTCCCTACGAGTGGTCAAACTCGAGTGACCCACTGCTTGTTTCTGTCACAGGTGAGGAAAGCCCATGGCTGTCCCATGTCCTATGATCCTAGAGCCTTAGCTGAGGAGCTTCCTGCTGAGGATGGAGAGAAGGATGAACAGATGCAGAGAGAAGACGAAGCTTGGGTGTGAGGGAGGGATCAGGGCACAGGATGGCAGACAGGGCACCTCCAAACCCTCCTACATGGCCTGCATGAAGGCCTGCGGCCAGGACTCCAGGCACCCAGGCAGATGGAGAAAGCGGTCAGGAGAGACCCAGAGGAGGGAGACTGGGCTCAGTTTGGGAAGATCAGAGGTTCCCTCAGCCCCTCAACATTACCCATTTCCCAGAAGCCCATCCTGGCCTCCCACCCACACAGGGATGTCATCACCTGCAACCCCTACACCCTTTACTTTTGTTTGAGAAATATTTATTGAGGATAAATATACCTATATAGCTTACCACCTTTAACATTTTTTTTTTGAGGCGGAGTCTAGCTCTGTCCCCTATGCTGGAGTGCATTGGCACAATCTCAGCTCACTGCAACTTCCGCCTCCTGGGTTCAAGCGATTCTCTTGCCTCAGCCACCTGAGTAGCTGGTGCTACAGGCGCGCACCACCATGCCAGGCTACTTTTTGTATTTTTAGTAGAGAGGGGGTTTCACCATGTTGGTCAAGCTGGTCTCGAACTCCTGACCACGTGATCCACCCGCATCAGCCTCCCAAAGTGCTGGGATTACAGGCATGAGCCACCACGCCCAGCCACATTTACCATTTTTAAGTGTAAAGTCTAGTGGTCATAAATACATTAATATATATATATATACACATATTTTTTTTTACCCTCCACCCTTTTCTTCCTGGCCTCTGGTAGCCACCATTCTACTCTCTACCTTCATGAGATCCACCTTTTAGCTCCTGTATATGGGTAAGAAATGGGAATCTTTGTAATGACCTCCAGTTCCATCCATGTGGCTGCAAATATCAGGATGTTTTTCTTTCTATGGAAGAGTAGTCTCCACTATGCAAATGTACCACATTCTCTCTATCCATTCACCCACTGATGGGCAGGTAGGTTGACTCCTCATCTTGGCTACTGTGAAGAGTGCTGCACCAATCATACGAGTGCAGATATCACTTCGATATATTGATTTACTTTCCTTTGGATATAAACCCAGTAGTGAAATTGCTGGATACTATGAAAGTTCTCTTTTTAGTTTTTCGTTTGTTGTTTTGTTTTTGTTTTTGAGACAGTTTCCCTCTGTGCCCAGGCTGGAGTACAAGTGATGTCATCTTGGCTCATTGCAACCTCTGCCTCCTGGGTTCAAATGATTTTCCTGCCTCAGCCTCCCTAGTATCAGGGATTATAGGCGCACGCCACCATGCCTGGCTACTTTTTGTTTTTTTTAGTATAGATGCGGTTTCCCCATGTTGGCTGGGCTGCTCTCAAACTCATGACCTCAACTGAGGTGCCCGCCTCGGTCTCCCAAAGTGCCGGGATTACAGGCATGATCCACCTCACCCAACCTCTTTTTAGTTCTTTAAAGGACTTCCACACTTTTCTCCGTAATGGCTGTACTAATTTACACTCCTACCAACAGGATACCAGGATTCTCCTTTCTCTAACACCTTGCCAGCATTTCTTTTGCCTGTCTTGCAGCTAAAAGCCATTTTATTTTATTTCATTTTATTTTGAGATGGAGTTTCGCTCTTGTCACCCAGGCTGAGTGCAGTGGTGCGATCTCGGCTCACCACAACCTCCACCTCCCAGGTTCAAGCGATTCTCCTGCCTCAGCCTCCCGAGTAGCTGGAATTACAGGCACACGCCACCACGCCCGACTAATTTTTGTATTTTTAGTAGAGACAGTGTTTCTCCATGTGGGTCAGACTGGTCTCAAACTCCCGACCTTATGAGATTCACCCACCTCAGGCTCTCAAAGTTCTAGGATGACAGACGTGAGCCACCACGCCCGGCCTAAAAGCCATTTTAATGGGGTGAGATGAAAACTCACTTTGATTTTAATTTGTGTTTCTCTGATGATGAGTGATACTGAGCACTTTTTCGTATGTGGGGAAATTTCATGTCTTTTGCTCCTGTTTCAATTAAATCATTTGTTTTATTGAGTTGTTTGAGCTTCTTATATTTCTAGTTATTAATCCCATCTCAGATGCATAGTTTGCACATATTTGCTCCCAATCTGTGGGTTGTCTCTTCACTTTGTTGGTTTATTTTTAGCGGTGCAGAAGTTGCTTAGTTTGAGGTAATCCCAATGGTCTATTTTTGCTTCGATTACTTGTGTTTTGAAGGTTTAAAACAAAATGTCTTCCTTCAGACAAACGTCCTGGAGCATTTCCCCAATATTTTCTTCTACGTGTTTCATAGGTTCAGGCCTTAGACTCACATCTTTAATCCATTTTCATTTGATTTTTGTGTATAGTGACAGGCAGAGGTGCAGTTTCATTCCTCTGCATGTCGATGTCCAGGTTTCCCTGCACTGTTTATTGAAAAGACTGTCCTTTCCTGATTGTGAGTTCTTGGCACCTTTGTCAAAGTCCATTGGATGGGCTGGGCATGGTGGCTGACACCTGCAATTTCAGCACTTTGGGAGCCCGAGGTGGGTGGATCACCTGAGGCCAAGAGTTCAAGATTAGTCTGGCCAACGTGATGAAACATCGTCTCCACTAAAAATATAAAAATTAGCTGAGCATGGTGGTCAGCACCTGTAATACCACTACTCAGGAGTTTGAGGCAAGAGAAGTGATTGAACCCAGGAGGCTGTGGTGGCAGTGAACCGAGATTGCACCTCTGCACTCCAGCCTGGGTGACAGAGCAAGACTCCATCTCAAAAGAAAAACAAAAAATACATTGGAGGTAAATGCATGGATTATATCTGTGTTATTCATTCTGCTCCGTTGTTCTATGTGCCTTTCTTCATGCCAACGTCATGCTGTCTTGCTTACTACAGCTCTGTAACATATTTTGAGATCAGGTAGTGTGATGCTCCTGTTTTCTCTTTATACCTTGAAGTCTCAAGACAGTAGCCGTCACATACAAAAATTACGGAAAAAAGGATCCCAGGACTCCCAGGGCCCAATATTAGATAACAGAGTGTTGGCCATGAACCAACCTCAAAGATTTCCACTGAGTAGAGGACAGACACCCTCATTTCCTCACCTCTCTCCTGTCTCATGTTCTAGGAAACCCTTCAAATAGTTGGCCTTCACCCACTGAACCAAGCTCCAAAACCGGTGAGTACAGAACCCTCTTATATCCGCTTTTGGAAACCTGGGGAGGTGGAAACCTTGGATTCAGGCGTTGACTCAGCATCTCACAGCTCTGACATTGTACGCCTGTCTTCTACCATCTCCAAACTCCAGATACTCCAACAGCGAAAGGGATCTGGACCCAAAACAGGGCTCTGTGAAATCTCTTAATCTCTCATTTTATGGAGCTGAGATCTCCTACAAGCTAGAAAAATGATTGGCAATCTGACATCCTTCTCAGGAAAAATGCAATGTTTGTTCTGCCTGCATTCCTAACTGGAGGATAAATTCCTGGGGGCTTGAGAGAGGGAAGGGTAGGGAACATTTGATGAGGGCGAGGTGTTTTAGAGAAGTTCCACTTGCCCAGGAATGAATTACTGTTGGTCATGAAGCAACCCTGGCTGACTCAGCAGAGCAAGAGCTTTGCCTTAACAGAGAACGGAGCTCATGCACGCACACTTCGACTCACTGACTCATTCAGCCACGGCCCCATGCTCAGGCCGTGGAAAAGGCAATTCCCAGCACTGCAGGAGGCCAAGGCGGGTGGATCACTTGAAGTCAGGAGTTCCAGACCAGCCTGGCCAAAATGGTGAAACCCTGTCTCTATGAAAAATACAAAAATTAGCCGAGCATGGTGGTGCATCCCTGTAATCCCAGCTCCTACTCTTGAGGATGAAGCAGGAGAACGACTTCAACCCAGGAGGTGGAGGTTGCAGTGAGTGGAGATTGCATCACTGCACTCCAGCCTGGGTGACACAAGGAGACTCCGTCTCAAAAAATAAAAATAAGAAATGCATAAATATAATAAAACACACACGAATGACAAAGGCACCTGAATTCCAATCATCATTTTTGTATTTCTCTATAATTACTTCTTTGATCCTTTGTCTTATCCATTAGGCAATGAGCCTAAAACCTCTTCCGTATTTGGCTTTCTGTGAGCATGAGACCATATAGAAAATGTGAAAGCCCGCTGAATCCTCCAGCACAGATCGTGGAATAGAGAAAGTGCTCTGTTCATCACAAAAAAAACTTGCCCTCTCACTCAAATCCCCCACTTCACCCCTACTTCCAATCACCTGTGGAGATTCAGATAGACCATGGGGAGGTAAACATTAATACTCCTTGGAGTGAGTCCAGATCTTGGAATGAGAGATCAGCACCAGCACTAGCTCCTGCTCCCCTTTCCTACTAATTCACAGGAGGACAGGTGGTATTGAAGCAATAGATGGTGGAGGGGGTGGTCCTTCCCCCAGCCTCTCAGGTAGAACAGCAGCCTAACATGTGTCTCCCGAGATCACAAAGAGTAGGACGTTTCACAGGGGCTTCAACACGATTTCCTGGCTGTTGGACATAAGATAACTCTATTTCGCTTTTTTATCTTGATTTCACTTTTGTTTCCTTTCCTTGGAGAACGCAAGTTGTTTGACTCAAGAATGCTGTGGATGTAGAAATCCTAAAGCACATTCGCTGTGTGTCAATCCCAGTGCAGTCTTCCCAGAAAAGACCCTAAACACCTCCTAGACTGCACCTGGGCCTACGCCAATTCCTATCACTCACCGTCACTCCAGGGAGACAGAACACACAGAGAATACGTTACATAGGCAGGTTCATTACTAACAGATAAGCAGCGAGTGAAAACAGAAGCCTACATTTCAATGTGAGCCAGTCCCTCAAGGCTCAGAAAAGCTGCTCGGGACATATGGAGTCACCCCATTTGCAGTGTAGCTGGGGGAAGCCAGAAAGCAGCCCAGCCTGGGTTTTGTACCCTGGAGCCACAGGAAGCACTCAGCTAAAGCACTGCATGACGTCCTCCTCCAGGAAGAACAGGAAGACAGCCCAGGCTGCTCTGGGACGTTCCTCCTGATCTCAGGACGTTGCTGTCTTAGTCCATTTTTGTTGCTCTAAAGGAACACTTGAGCCTGGGCAACTTCTAAAGAAAAGAGATTGGTTTGCCTCACCGTTCTGCAGGCTGTACTGGAAGCATGGCACCAGCATCTATTTCTCGTGATGGCCTCAGGCTGCTC
The DNA here is from genome assembly GCF_000001405.40 of Homo sapiens. NCBI lineage: Eukaryota > Metazoa > Chordata > Mammalia > Primates > Hominidae > Homo > Homo sapiens. Next base: position 670,318 of record NW_003571060.1, read on the forward strand.
CCACTCTGGCAGAAGGGAAGGAGGGTCTGTCTGTGCAGAGACCACAGAGATCACACGGCAAGAGAGGGAGCAAGGGGGAGGGGGAGCGATGGAGCTTCCAAGTTCTTTTGAACAACCAGCTCTCCAGGAACTAATAGAGGGGGAACTAGCTAACCCCGTCTCCTTGGGACAGCATTGATCTGTTCATGATGGATCCACCTCCATGACCCAAACACCTCTCAAGAGGCCCAACCTCCCACAATGGGGGTGAAATTTCAATGTGAGGTTTGAAGGGGTCAAACATCTCAACTAAAGTAGTTGTGTCCTCAGCACATTCTATGGTTACTTTGAGAGCTATAACTGAGAAAGCAGGAGAAAGCTGGGTCTCCCGCCATCTGGGTGCTTGTCCTAAAGAGGTGTTTTACGTGGTTACCTGTCAATCAAGAAATGCGAGACAATTCATAAAGAGGAACTGCTATGATTAGCTTCTTATTGGTGTCTCATCTTCTTCCAGGTAACCCAAGACACCTGCACGTTCTGATTGGGACCTCAGTGGTCATCATCCTCTTCATCCTCCTCCTCTTCTTTCTCCTTCATCGCTGGTGCTCCAACAAGAAAAGTAAGTCTCACGAAGGAGAGGCCAGAGAGCTCAGGGCCATGTGGGGAAGCAGGATGGGAGCACTCAGGTGTGTGTTCCTCACAGGTAGGATGGTCCCTGGCCCAAGGCAGCAGCCACAGAGGCAGGACTTTCTAGAGAGGGCACCAGACTCCCTGTCCCTGCTTTCAGCTCACAGACCGTTGCCTGATTCTGAACTGTATCCTCATGTCCCCTGCAGCCACTCACATCCAGGAGAAGGTTCCATGACAGGCAGAAAGTGGGAGACAGAATCAATGGGATGGGAACTCAGAGCTATTCATGGGATGGGTCCTTGAGCTCAGAGAGATAGAATGTCTGAGTCTGCTGTTGGCAACTGAGGGACCTCAGGCACCTATGGCCTCCCCCTGTTTGTTGGTATCTGCTTATGAAATGAGGACCCAGAAGTGCCCTCCGAGCTCTTTTGTTGACTTCCGTCTCCTACACATGCTGCTGTAATGGACCAAGAGCCTGCAGGGAACAGAACAGCGAATAGCGAGGTAGGTGCTCCTCGGCCCAGCCTCGTGGCTAGTGTTATTCCCAAACAGTCCTGGAAAACGTGAGCACCCTCCCTCACTCAGGATTTCCCTCTCTCCAGGACTCTGATGAACAAGACCCTCAGGAGGTGACATACGTACAGTTGGATCACTGCGTTTTCACACAGAGAAAAATCACTCGCCCTTCTCAGAGGCCCAAGACACCCCCAACAGATACCAGAGTGTACACGGAACTTCCAAATGCTGAGTCCAGATCCAAAGTTGTCTCCTGCCCATGAGCACCACAGTCAGGCCTTGAGGGGATCTTCTAGGGAGACAACAGCCCTGTCTCAAAACCGGGTTGCCAGCTCCCATGTACCAGCAGCTGGAATCTGAAGGCGTGAGTCTGCATCTTAGGGCATCGCTCTTCCTCACACCACAAATCTGAATGTGCCTCTCTCTTGCTTACAAATGTCTAAGGTCCCCACTGCCTGCTGGAGAAAAAACACACTCCTTTGCTTAGCCCACAATTCTCCATTTCACTTGACCCCTGCCCACCTCTCCAACCTTACTGGCTTACTTCCTAGTCTACTTGAGGCTGCAATCACACTGAGGAACTCACAGTTCCAAACATACAAGAGGCTCCCTCTTAACACGGCACTTAGACACGTCCTGTTCCACCTTCCCTCATGCTGTTCCACCTCCCCTCAGAGTATCTTTCAGCCTTCTGTCAGCAGTAAAACTTATATATTTTTTAAAATAATTTCAATGTAGTTTTCCCTCCTTCAAATAAACATGTCTGCCCTCATGGTTTCGGTAATGGGACTCTTTTCTTGCCTAAGACTTCCATTATCATTACCATGTCCACATAACCCCATCTGTTCTCCACTGGGTTCTCACCCCCGGACTCTGAGTTTCTGGAAGCAGGGTGGAGCCTCATTTGTCTCTGGGACTCCTATTTCCATCCAAAGATGTAGCACATAGGAGGTTCCAAGGATCGTGAATCACATGAACAAGTGATATTCTTACTCTCTGCAGACCTGGAAATCTGGCAGAGTCATTCCAAGATGAAACATTTGTAGAATCATAGGCCTTGTTAGTCTCATCTACACAGGGACACATATCAACACATCATCTTTCACACTATAAATATACAGTCACTCCTCCATATCTGTGGGGTTTACAGTTCTTTATTGAACCGAGTATAAATCAAAAATATTCAGAGAAAGTATCCACAGAGTTACAAAAAGCAGAACTGTGTTGAATGGACACAAATGAAGCTGTGTGTAGGCTGCATCAGGAATTATAAGTAATCTAGAGATGATTTCATGTATACAGGAGGATGTGCATAGGTTATTTGCAAACTCTGTGCCATTTCATATAAGAGGCTTGAGCATCTACAGATTTTGGTATCTGAGTGGAGATCTCGAAACCAATCACCCACGAATAGTGAAGGATGACCGTATATGACTTTTATTTCTCAAATTTAAATATAAATCATAAAAAATGTACAACTAGATAAAAACTAAGAAGTGTTTTTATAGTGTGAGTTAGATTTATTTTTTCCTAGGTATAACCCATTGGTTTAATATTATTTATTGAGAAGACATTCTATGCCACCTTAAACCACACGGCAGCCTTTGTCAACTCTAAAGGGACTGTGTGTACACGGATGTACTTTAGACACTGTTTCTGCTAAGGGGCTCTCTGTGTCCACACTCTTGATGATGCTGCACTTTATGTAGCCTTATAGAACCCTTTAAATTTAGTAGCCAGAGCTCTCTAATTTGTTATTATAGGCTATTTGCTTTTTTTTCTTGAGGCGGAGTCTTGCTCTGTCGCCCAGGCTGGACTGCAGTGACACAATCTCAGCTCACTGCAACTTCTGCCTCCCAGGTTCAAGCGATTCTCATGCCTCAGCCTCTTGAGTAGCTGGCGTTACAGGTGCCTGCCACCAGGCACGGCTAATTTTTGGATTTTTAGCAGAGACACGGTTTCACTATATTGGCCAGGCTGCTCTCAAACTCCTTATCTCAGTTGATCCGCCCACCTCGGCTTCCCAACGTGCTGGGGAAACTTGATTTTCTATAGCATTATGTTACTGGATATTTCTGTAAAATTTAAAATGAGGGAGGGAGAGAGACAGAGAGAGATCAAACTCCAGAGTTGGGACTCTGGAATCTTGGGTCATGAGACAAATTTTAGATTAAACTACAAAACTCCAGAATTTACAGGTGGGGTTTTTACTGATAAAGTACAATTCTAAGATTGTAAATAATTGCATAATCCTTCCCTGGGAATTTAAATCATTTTAACTGGTTCTGCTGTAATACTAGAAATACAAGCATGAAAAATTCTAATGGTTTATTAGTGACAATGACTCTGAAAACATTAATAATACCTATTAGATATTTTGCATATTACACAGGAAGAAGAGTTTGAATCTCAGATAAAAACAATAGAAATACATGAAAAGTCTTTCATGTTAGCACAGATTTTAGGCATCTCGTGTTCGGGAGGTTGGATCTCAGACGTGTTTTGAGTTGGTCATAGTGAAGGACACTAGGTGTCAAATTCTAGCGAGAACAATTTCCAGGAAGCCGTGTTCCGCTCTTGAGCGAGCACCCACTGGGCCTCATGCAAGGTAGAAAGAGCCTGCGTACGTCACCCTCCCATGATGTGGTCAACATGTAAACTGCATGGGCAGGGCGCCAAATAACATCCTGTGCGCTGCTGAGCTGAGCTCGGTCGCGGCTGCCTGTCTGCTCCGGCAGCACCATGTCGCTCTTGGTCGTCAGCATGGCGTGTGTTGGTGAGTCCTGGAAAGCAATAGAGGGAGGGAGTGAGGGGATGGAGATCTGGGCCCAGAGGTGGAGATATAGGCCTGGAGGTGGAGTTATGGGCCTGGAGTGGAGATCTGGGCCTGGAGTGGATATATGGGCCTAGAGATGGAGTGATGGGCCTAGAAGTGGAGATCTGGGCCCAGAGGTCGAGATATAGGCCTGGAGGTGGAGTGATGGGACTGTAGTGGAGATCTGGGCCTGGAGTGGAGATAGGAACCTGGAGGGGAGATAGGAACCTGGAGGGGAGATATGGGCCTGGAGGTGGAGATATGGGCCTGGAGTGGAGTCATGGGCCTGGAGGTGGAGTTATGGGCCTGCAGTAGAGATATGGGCCTGAAGTGGAGACATGGGCCTGGAGTGGAGATATGGGCCAGGAGTGGAGATATGGGCCTAGAGGTCGATATCTGGGCCTGGAGTGGAGATATGGGCCAGGAGTGGAGATATGGGCCTAGAGGTCGATATCTGGGCCTGGAGAGGAGATATGTGCCTAGGATGGAGATACGGGCCTGGGTGTGGAGATATGGGACTGGAGAGGATATATGGGCCTGGAGTGGAGATATGGGACTGGAGAGGAGATATGGACCTGGAGTGGAGATAAGGGCCTGGATTGGAGATATGGGCCCAGGGTGGAGATCTGAGCCTGGATTGGAGATATGGGCCTGGATTGGCGATATGGGCTTAGGGTGGAAATATCGGCCTGGAGTGGAGATATGGGCCTGGAGTGGAGATATGGGCTTGAGGTGGGGATATGGACCTGGAGGCTGGGTCTCTGCACAGCCGACAGCCCTGTTCTTGGGTGCAGGTAGGCACTGAGGGTGAGTTTACCTTCAGCCCAGGAAGGGCCTGGCTACCAAGACTCACAGCCCAGTGGGGGCAGCAAGGGTGCCCTGGTTTGCCTGCAGATGGGTCATCCATCATGATCTTTCTTTCCAGGGTTCTTCTTGCTGCAGGGGGCCTGGCCACATGAGGGTGAGTCCTTCTCCCAACCTTCGGGTGTCATCTCCCCACATAAGAGGATTTTCCTGAAATGGGAGGGAAGTCCTGTCAGGGAGTCTCTCATAAACTAGGAAGAAGGGACCCTGGGGTGCTGGGCCCACATTTCTGACCTTGCCTCCCTGGCCTTTCATTCCCTTGGCAGAGTCAAGTTCTGTGGGGACCAGGGTTAGACTACGGTGCTCAAAGCTGGGGTGTGTGGTGGGGAAGTGGTAGGAACAGCAGATCCTCTGAGGACAAAGGTGTTACTCACACACTTCAGCGTTTCCATGACGGTAGGGGCTGCAGTGTGGCTGCTGTCATTCTACCAGAAGAGGTGGGAAAACCACAGCCATGGCCCTGACATTCCAATCCTCTGATGGGGACTCAGTTGTTTATTTTCGTTCAGGCATCGGCTGATATTCCATTCTCAAAGGACATGCCCTCCACCCCATGTCTACCCTGTGTTGTTTTATGTGAGTAATCTTACAGTATTAAAATCTAGTAGGAGTCTCTTACTCAGCACTTGCTCAAAGTTCTCAGCTGACACTTTTGTTGTAGGGAGACACCTTGTGTTTGCGGGATGGGTCCTTCCTTTAGCCCTGGGCACCAAGGTGTGATAGCAGCCATAGAAACTTGGAAAGCGAGGAGAATCTTCAGAGCACAGGGAGGGAGGGGCGGCTCCACATCCTCCTCTCTAAGGCGGTGCCTCCTTCTCCCCACGGTGGTCAGGACAAGCCCTTGCTGTCTGCCTGGCCAAGCCCTGTGGTGCCTCCAGGACATGTGATTCTTCAGTGTCATTCTTATCTTGGGTTTAACAACTTCAGTCTGTAAAAGGAAGATGGGGTGCCTGTCCCTGAGCTCTACAACATAATATTCTGGAACAGCCTTTTCATGGGCCCTGTGACCCCAGCACACGCAGGGACCTATACATGTCGGGGTTCACAACCACACTACCCCAGTGGGTGGTCGGCACCCAGCAACCCCCTGGAGATCACGGTCACAGGTCAGAGGGCTCCTGTCTGGGATTCTCCTTGTCCCACCTCCTGAATCCCAGAGCTCCTGGTGGGCGTGTCCTTGCGGGTCCCATCATGCAAGTCCTGACTGTATTTGGGGTAAAGGGGGATTGAATACAGGGAAATGGGTGCTGTGGTGGGAAGAATAATTGTCCCCAGTGATGACTACATTCTAATCCCTGGAGTCTGTGACTATTTATGATATAGGGGAAGGGACTGAAGGAGAAGATGGAGCTCAGGTTGTTGATGAGTTGACCTTGAGATGGGGAGACAGCCTGGACTGTCCTGATGGGCTCAGTGTAGTCACAGGGGTCCACATGAAAGGAGGAGGAAGAGGGGAGTGGGGATTACAGCAGCATAATGGGAGTCTCCATCAGCTTTGAAGGTGGAGGAAGTCCAGGAGCCATGAATGCAGGTGGCCTATAGAGGCTGGAAAAGTCAAGGAACTGATTCTCCTGAGTCTCCAGAGGGAACGAAGCCCTGCAGGTGCCTTGATTTTACCCACGACAAACAGGGTCCGATTTCTGTCTCCAGAATTGGAAGGGGTTAGTGTGCTCTCTCCTGGTGCCATGCTTCTGATAATTTTCTACAGCAGCAACAGGAAACCAACACTGGAACCCAGGTCAAGGACAAGTTAAGAAACAACACAAGGATAGCCAGGCATGGTGGCAGGTGCATGTAATCCTAGCGACTTGGGAGGCTGAGGGCAGGAGAATCACTTGAACCCAGGAGACAGAGGTTGCAGTGAGCCTAGACCACACCACTTCACTCCAGCCTGGGCAAAGGAGTGAGACTCTGTCGCCAAAATTAATTAATTAATTAAAGAAACCAAACAAGGAGAAGGTTGGCTACACTGAGATCAGCAAGGCTCAGATGATGATGCCACCACCAGGCTCCATCCACATAGGGAGGGGTTGATACTCCTCCAACCAGCACCAGGAGCCAGCCTATGGAAGCTGGCACTGGCATGGCAAGAGTGGCTCCCAGTCCCTACCAGGAACAGGGTGTGTGGCCACTGGTGCCTGCCTTACTGATCAGTTCATACCTCCTGCCAAGGATTCCAATTCGTCCAAAAGAGATTGAACCAGGCTGCTAAGAGCCTGGATGTGCAGCCTATCCTGGTTCCTCTTCCACCCCCACATAGACAGCAGGAAAGACATTAGTTCGAAATAGATACAACAGCCCAAGAGATGAGGCTGAGCCCAGCAGCAAGGGAATCAGAGGCTACTAGAGACAGAGGGACAGAGAAGAGTGAGGGAGACAGATGGAAGGACCTGCACCAGGAGTTATGGGCACAGAAAAGAACATGAAGACACAGAGAGGAAGGAGAGAGATAAGACACCAGGAAGGGGAAGCCTGACTCAATCCAGGTGCCATGGATGGGATGATAAAGAGAGACACCTTCTAAACTCACAACCTCTCTTCCTAGGAGTCCACAGAAAACCTTCCCTCCTGGCCCACCCAGGTCGCCTGGTGAAATCAGAAGAGACAGTCATCCTGCAGTGTTGGTCAGATGTCATGTTTGAACACTTCCTTCTGCACAGAGAGGGGATGTTTAACGACACTTTGCGCCTCATTGGAGAACACCATGATGGGGTCTCCAAGGCCAACTTCTCCATCAGTCGCATGACGCAAGACCTGGCAGGGACCTACAGATGCTACGGTTCTGTTACTCACTCCCCCTATCAGGTGTCAGCTCCCAGTGACCCTCTGGACATCGTGATCATAGGTGAGAGTGTCCAGACTTTCTTCTCATTGTCATTGGGATGCAGAGTGAATGATCCAGGAATTGGAGACCCAGGTGGCTGTAAGGAAGATGAGCTTGGTATTCTTATGGAGAGAGACTGACTTGGTGAGGTCTGTGCCAACAGAGACAGAGAAACAGGAGACACAAGTAGAGACCAGGTGTCATAACAGAGAACAGACACAGGGGCCATACCGGGAGTTAGAAAAGACAGAAAGAGTTAAAGGAGACACACAGACAGACATGTCCCAGAGAGAGGTGTCCCTCCATGCTGACTTTGCTCAGAGACCTGGCACAGGTTAGAAGTTTCATTTCTGTTTTACCTCCACAAAGTGTTCTCTACCAGGAGAACCCAAGGACACCCATATTTCTGACCTGAGTTGGGCCCTGTGGCCTCAGGCCTTGTGGCACCTACAGATGCCATGTTTATTCTGACACCTCTGCCTTCCATGTAATGGAGAGTAATCGTCCCAGGATATCATGGCCCCACAACACCAACCCCTGTATGCTGTGTGAACTTGTAGTCTCCAGACTGGATTCTGAGGCTCATATTCCAAATAAGCCCACTTATGAGAGGATCAGTGAGAGGCACAGAGAGAAATCAGGGACACCAAAAAGCAAAGACATAAACACACAGAGAATGAGCCAGAGGAAGGAGATTGAGAGACTCACAGACACATAAAGAGAGAGAAAAGAGGGCAGAGGAGTGGTGAGAATGATGGAAGGGAGCAGAGAAAAGCACTAAAATTAGACTCCTGAGGGAGAGGCACAAGGACATTGAAAGATGGAGATGTGGGGATGAATTGCAGAGATTCCAAAGAGAACTAGAGAGACCGAGAGGCAGAGCAAGACAGATGATAGATGGATAGATATAGATAGATGATAAATAGGTAGATGATAGATAATAGGTTATAGATACATAGATGATGATTGATTGATTCATTAATAGATGAGACATAGAGATGATGATGATGAAGACAGATAGATAGATAATACATAGAGATACAGAGGCAGACATAGAGAAATCATAGAGAGAGAGAGATGATACATAGATATAGATAATAGATGATTGATGGATAGATAGACAATTGATGGATAAATAGATGATATATAGATATAGATGACAGGTAGAGAATTTGTAGATAGGCACCGAATAGATAAATAGATAGATCGATAGATAATAGATAGAAATATGCAGAAAGTTATGGACAGGACACAAAGTGAGAAACTCAGAATTAAAAAAAGTAACATCAAGTCAACCAATCCAAGGAGAGTCAGAGAGAATAAAACAATCCAAAAAGAGAAAACATATCTAGAGGTGGGGAAGTGAGGTCAGAGACCTAGAGAGACAGAGAAGGTGGAAGGAGGAAATAGACATGAAGAGCGATGGGGTAGAGGGTGAGAGAGAGAGAGAGAGAGCATTAGGTCATAGAACAGGGGAGTGAGTTCTCAGCTCAGGTGAAGGGAGCTGTGACAAAGAAGATCCTCCCTGAGGAAACTGCCTCTTCTCCTTCCAGGTCTATATGAGAAACCTTCTCTCTCAGCCCAGCTGGGCCCCACGGTTCTGGCAGGAGAGAATGTGACCTTGTCCTGCAGCTCCCGGAGCTCCTATGACATGTACCATCTATCCAGGGAAGGGGAGGCCCATGAACGTAGGCTCCCTGCAGGGCCCAAGGTCAACGGAACATTCCAGGCTGACTTTCCTCTGGGCCCTGCCACCCACGGAGGGACCTACAGATGCTTCGGCTCTTTCCATGACTCTCCATACGAGTGGTCAAAGTCAAGTGACCCACTGCTTGTTTCTGTCACAGGTGAGGAAAGCCCATGGCTGTCCCATGTCCTATGATCCTAGAGCCTTAGCTGAGGAGCTTCCTGCTGAGGATGGAGAGAAGCATGGACAGATGCAGAGAGAAGACGCAGCCTCGGTGTGAGGGAGGGATCAGGGCACAGGATGGCCGACAGGGCACCTCCAAACCCTCCTACATGGCCTGCATGGAGGCCCACGGCCAGGGCTCCAGGCACCCAGGCAGATGGAGAAAGCGGTCAGGAGAGACCCAGAGGAGGGAGACTGGGCTCAGTTTGGGGAGATCAGAGGTTCCCTCAGCCCCTCAACCTTACCCATTTCCCAGAAGCCCATCCTGGCCTCTCACCCACACAGAGATGTCATCACCAGCAACCCCTACACCCTTTACTTTTCTTTGAAGAAATATTTATTGAGGATAAATATACCTATATAGCTTACCACTTTTAACATTTTTTTTTGAGGTGGAGTCTAGCTCTGTCCCCTATGATGGAGTGCAGTGGCACAATCTCAGCTCACTGCAACCTCCGCCTCCTGGGTTCAAGCGATTCTCCTGCCTCAGCCACCTGAGTAGCTAGTGCTACAGGCACGCACCACCACGCCAGGCTACTTTTTGTATTTTTAGTAGAGAGGTGGTTTCACCATGTTGGTCGAGCTGGTCTCGAACTCCTGACCACGTGATCCACCCGCATCAGCCTCCCAAAGTGCTGGGATTACAGGCATGGGCCACCAGGCCCAGCCACATTTACCATTTTTAAGTGTAAAGTCTAGTGGTCATAAATACATTTTTATATATATATATATATACATTTTTTTTACCCTCCACCCTTTTCTTCCTGTCCTCCAGTAGCCACCATTCTACTCTCTACCTTCATGAGATCCACCTTTTAGCTCCTGTATATGGGTGAGAAATGGGAATCTTTTTAATGACCTCCAGTTCCATCCATGTGGCTGCAAATGACAGGATGTTATTCTTTCTATGGATGAGTAGTCTCCACTGTGCGTATGTACTACATTCTCTCTATCCATTCACCCACTGATGGGCAGGTAGGTTGACTCCTCATCTTGGCTACTGTGAACAGTGCTGCACCAATCATACGAGTGCAGATATCACTTCGATATGTTGATTTACTTTCCTTTGGATATAAACCCAGTAGTGAAATTGCTGGATACTATGAAAGTTCTCTTTTTTTTTTTTTTTTCTTTTTTGAGAAAGAGTTTCCCTCCTTAGCCCAAGCTGGAGTCAAAGTGGTGCAACCTTGGCTCATTGCAACCTCCGCCTCCTGGGTTCAAATGATTTTCCTGCCTCAGCCTCCCTAGTAGCTGGGATTACAGGTGCACACCACCATGCCTGGCTACTTTTTGGTTTTTTTAGTATAGATGCGGTTTCCCCATGTTGGCTGGGCTGCTCTCAAACTCATGACCTCAACTGAGGTGCCCGCCTCAGTCTCCCAAAGTGCCGGGATTACAGGCATGATCCACCTCACCCAACCTCTTTTTAGTTCTTTAAAGGACTTCCATACTTTTCTCCGTAATGGCTGTACTAATTTACACTCCTCCCAACAGGGTACCAGGGTTCTCCTTTCTCTACCACCTTGCCAGCATTTCTTTTGCCTGTCTTGCAGCTAAAAGCCATTTTATTTTATTTCATTTTATTTTGAGATGGAGTTTTGCTCTTCTCACCCAGGCTGGAGTGCAGTGGCGCTATCTCGGCTCACCACAACCTCCACCTCCCAGGTTCAAGCGATTCTCCTGCCTCAGCCTCCCGAGTAGCTGGAATTACAGGCACACGCCACCACGCCCTACTAATTTTTGTATTTTTAGTAGAGACAGCGTTTCTCTATGTGGGTCAGACTGGTCTCAAACTCCCAACCTTATGAGATTCACCCACCTCAGGTTCTCAAAGTTCTAGGATGACACAAGTGAGCCACCTCACCCGGCCTAAAAGCCATTTTAATGGGGTGAGATGAAAACTCACTTTGATTTTAATTTGCGTTTCTCTGATGATGAGTGATACTGAGCACTTTTTCGTATGTGGGGAAATTTCATGTCTTTTGCTCCTTTTTCAATTAAATCATTTGTTTTATTGAGTTGTTTGAGCTTCTTATATTTCTAGTTATTAATCCCATCTCAGATGCATAGTTTGCACATATTTGCTCCCAATCTGTGGGTTGTCTCTTCACTTTGTTGGTTTATTTTTAGCAGTGCTGAAGTTGCTTAGTTTGAGGTAATCCCAATGGTCTATTTTTGCTTCGATTACTTGTGTTTTGAAGGTTTAAAACAAAATGTCTTCCTTCAGACAAACGTCCTGGAGCATTTCCCCAATATTTTGTTCTACGTGTTTCATAGGTTCAGGCCTTAGACTCACATCTTTAATCCATTTTCATTTGATTTTTGTGTATGGTGACAGGTAGAGTTGCAGTTTCATTCCTCTGCATGTAGATGTCCAGGTTTCCCTGCACTGTTTATTGAAAAGACTGTCCTTTCCTGATTGTGAGTTCTTGGCATCTTTGTCAAAGTCCATTGGATGGGCTGGGCTTGGTGGCTAACACCTGCAATTTCAGCACTTTGGGAGCCCGAGGTGGGTGGATCACCTGAGGCCAGGAGTTCAAGATTAGTCTGGCCAACGTGATGAAACATCGTCTCCACTAAAAATATAAAAATTAGCTGAGCATGGTGGTCAGCACCTGTAATACCACTACTCAGGAATTTGAGGCAAGAGAATGATTGAACCCAGGAGGCTGAGGTTGCAGTGAACCGAGATTGCACCTCTGCACTCCAGCCTGAGTGACAGAGCAAGACTCCATCTCAAAAGAAAAAATAAAAAACCATTGGATGTAAATGCATGGAATATATCTGTGTTATTCATTCTGCTCCGTTGTTCTATGTGCCTTTCTTTATGCCAATGTCATGCTATTTTGCTTACTACAGCTCTGTAACATATTTTGAGATCAGGTAGTGTGATGCTCCTGTTTTCTCTTTATATCTTGAAGTCTCAAGACAGTGGGTGTCATATAAAAAAATTATGGAAAAAAGGATCCCAGGACTCCCAGGGCTCAATATTAGATAAGAGAGTGTTGGCCATGAACCATCCTCAAAGATTTCCACTGAGTGGAGGACAGACACCCTCATTTCCTCACCTCTCTCCTGTCTCATGTTCTAGGAAACCCTTCAAATAGTTGGCCTTCACCCACTGAACCAAGCTCCAAAACCGGTGAGTACAGAACCCTCTTATATCCGCTTTTGGAACCCTGGGGAGGTGGGAACCTTGGATTCAGGCGTTGACTCAGCATCTCACAGCTCTGACATTGTACACTTGTCTTCCACCATCTCTGAACTCCAGATACTCCTACAGCGAAAGGGATCTGGGCCCAACACAGGGCTCAGTGAAATCTCTTCATCTCTCATTTTATGGAGCTGAGACCTCCTACAAGCTAGAAGAATGATTGCCAATCTGACATCCTTCTCAGGAAAAATGCAATGTTTGTTCTACCTGCATTCCTAACTGGAGGATAAATTCCTGGAGACTTGAGAGAGGGAAGGGAAGGGAACATCTGATGAGGGCAAGGTGTTTTAGAGAAGTTCCACTTGCCAAGGAATGAGCTCCTGTAGGTCATGAAGCAACCCTGGCTGACTCCGCAGAGAAAGAGCCTTGCCGTAACAGAGAACAGAGCTCATGCACGCACACTTCGACTCACTGACTCATTCAGCCACGGCCCCATGCTCAGGCTGTGCAGTGTGGAACCTTTTCCTATTGTTGCCATAACAAATTTCCACAAGATTCGTGGGTGAAAACAAAACGGTTTTTTAATTATCTTACAGTGCTGTAGCTCAAAGTAGGAAGTGCATCTTACTGGGCTAAAATCAAGGTGACAGCAAGGCTGCCTTCCCTCTGAGGATTCCAGGCACGAATCTGCTTCTCACTTGTCCCAGCTTCTAAAGGCTCCCAGTTCCTTGGCTCCTGGTCCCCTTCCTCCTTCCTCAAAGCCCACAAAGACTGGTCACATCTCACATGGCATCACTCAGTGCCTTCTTCCTTACCACACCTCTTTCTCTGAGTGCTGCTCTCCCTTCTTCCTCATCTTTTGAAAACTTGGGGATTCTATTGGGTTCACCAAGATGAAAATCCCTCATAATCTCCTGGAAATCATCCAGGATACCCTTGTTTTAAGTTCAGCTGATTAGCAACCATAATTCCATCTGCAATCTTCATTCCTCCTTTCCATGTAAAATAACATATTCACAAGCTATGGAGGCTAGGACAGGGACATTTTGGGGTGGGACAGCATTCTCCTGCCTTCCACAAACAGTGAACAAGATGCATTTGGCCTCTGCCCTTGGGACACTGATATTGCAGATGGTTAAATGGGAGGGCAGAAAATGAACGCACAAGTGGATCTATAAATGAATGGTCCATTGGGAAGCATCTGTGCATGAAATCTATTTTTTGTTTGTTCTTTTGTTTATTGAGACAGAGTCGCCCTCTGTCTTCCAGGCTACAGTGCAGTGTCACGATCTTGGCTCACTGCAACCTGCGTCTCCTGGATTCAAGTGATTCTCCTGCCTCCGCCTCTCGAGTAGCTGGGATTACAGGCAACTGCCACCGTGCCCGGCTAATTCTTTTTGTATATTTTTTGTAGAGAGGATGTTTCACCACGTTGGCCAAGCTTGTCTGAAACTCCCAACCTCAAGTGATCCGACCGTCTCAGCATGCCAAAGTAATGGGACTACAGGCGTGAGCCACTGTGCCCAGCCAGAATTCAAAATCAATAATAGATAATGCTGAGTGTATGATTTCAGGTGACAAAGAAGGTCTCACTATTCAGATATTTGTGACATTAATGAAAAACACGGAATGAACCCCTGAAAGATTGGCGGAAGGATTTTGCACACACAGCTGTCAGCCATGAAGGCACAAAGGTGAAAACAATCTGATGTGGAAGGAAGAGGCTCTGACTCAAATGCTGGGAATGAGGTGGGGAGAATGACAAGACGACTGTAGAGAGACGGAGAGCACACTGGGTACACAGGAAACTAAGGAGCAACAAGGAGTGTGTGTTTGACACTCACAGCCATTGGATTCACCTCGGGGTAACCAGGAATCCCTACATGATTAATATGACTGACATGAAAATAAGGGAGGCCCAGGTGCATAACTGGAATCTAGGAGACCGTGGAAAAGGCAATTGCCGCCCCACTGGTGAAATGTGGTGCTGATTTAGACACTAAATGAATGAAGTAGATGGATATAAGATATGTTTGTGAGGTAGAATCATTGACTGGAAAGGCTTACTGGGTTTGATTTTCCTACTTGTTTAATCCTCGCTTAATTAATTTCTTTCTGAGATTTATTCATCCTACACATAAATCAATACCTGGCAAAGGAGTGACAGATATATGAGTGGTGGTGGAAATGAAGAGACTTATTATAGCATAATATACAAGTCTGTGAACAGTGGCTCACGCCTGTAACCTAGCACTGCAGGAGGCCAAGGTGGGTGGATTCCATGAAGTCAGGAGTTCCAGACCAGCCTGGCCAACGTGGTGAAACCCTATCTCTACTAAAAATACAAAAATTAGCCGAGCACGATGGTGCATCCCTGTAATCCCAGCTCCTATTCTGGAGGATGAAGCAGGAGAATGACTTCAACCCAGTAGGTGGAGGTTGCAGTGAGTGGAGATTGCATCACTGCACTCCAGCCTGGGGGACACAAGGAGACTCTATCTCAAAAAATAAAAATAAGAAATACATAAATATAATAAAACACACACGAATGACAAAGGCACCTGAATTCCAATCATCGTTTTTCTATTTCTCTATAATTACTTCTTTGATCCTTTATCTTATCCATTAGGCAATGAGCCTAAAACCTCTTCCCTATTTGGCTTTCTGTGAGCATGAGATCATATAGAAAATGTGAAAGCCCGCTGAATCCTCCAGCACAGATCCTGGAATAGAGAAAGTGCTCTGGTCATCACAAAAAAAACTTGCCCACTCACCCAAATCCCCCACCTCACCCCTACTTCCAATCACCTGTGGAGATTCAGATAGACCATGGGGAGGTAAACATTAACACTCCTTGGAGTGAGTCCAGATCTTGGAATCAGAGATCAGCGACAGCACTAGCTCCTGCTCCCCTTTCCTACTAATTCACAGGAGGACAGGTGGTTTTGAAGCAATAGATGGCCGAGGGGGTGGTCCTTCCCCCAGCCTCTCGGGTAGAACAGCAGCCTAATATGTGTCTCCCGAGATCACAAAGAGCAGCAGGTTTCACACGGGCTTCAACACTATTTCCTGGCCGTTTGACATAAGAGAATTCTATTTCGCTTTTTTTATCTTGATTTCACTTTTGTTTTCTTTCCTTGGAGAATGCAAGTTGTTTGATTCAAGAATGCTGTGGATGTAGAAACCCTAAAGCACATTCGCTGTGAATCAATCCCAGTCCAGTCTTCCCAGAGAAGACTCTAAACACCTCCTGGACTGCACCTGGGCCTATGCCAATTCCTATCACTCACCGTCACTCCAGGGAGACAGAACACACAGAGAATACGTTACATAGGCAGGTTCATTACTAACAGATAAGCAGCGAGTGACAACAGAAACCTATATTTCAATGTGACCCAGTCCCTCAAGGCTCAGAAAAGCTCCTCGGGACATATGGAGTCACCCCATTTGCAGTGTAGCTGCGGGAAGCCAGAAAGCAGCCCAGCCTGGGTTTTGTACCCTGGAGCCACAGGAAGCACTCAGCTAAAGCACTGCATGACGTCCTCCAGGAAGAACAGGAAGACAGCCCAGGGTGTTCTGAGACGTTCCTCCTGATCTCAGGAAGTTGCTGTCTTAGGCCATTTTTGTTGCTCTAAAGGAACACTTGAGCCTCGGTAACTTCTAAAGAAAAGAGATTGGTTTGCCTCACCGTTCTGCAGGCTGTACTGGAAGCATGGCACCAGCATCTATTTCTCGTGATGGCCTCAGGCTGCTCCCACTCTGGCAGAAGGGAAGGAGGGTCTGTCTGTGCAGAGACCACAGAGATCACACGGCAAGAGAGGGAGCAAGGGGGAGGGGGAGTGATGGAGCTTCCAAGCTCTTTTTAACAACCAGCTCTCCGGGAACTAATAGAGGGGGAACTTGCTAACCCCGTCTCCTTGGGACAGCATTGATGTGTTCATGATGGATCCACCTCCATGACCCAAACACCTCTCAAGAGGCCCAACCTCCCACAGTGGGGGTGAAATTTCAATGTGAGGTTTGAAGGGGTCAAACATCTCAACTAAAGTAGTCGTATCCTCAGCACGTTCTATGGTTACTATGAGAGCTATAACTGAAAAAGCAGGAGAAAGCTGGGTCTCCTGCCATCTGGGTGCTTGTCCTAAAGAGGTGTTTTATGTGGTTACCTGTCAATCAAGAAATGCGAGACAATTCATAAAGAGGAACTGCTAAGATTAGCTTCTTATTGGTGTCTCATCTTCTTCCAGGTAACCCCCGACACCTGCACATTCTGATTGGGACCTCAGTGGTCATCATCCTCTTCATCCTCCTCTTCTTTCTCCTTCATCGCTGGTGCTCCAACAAAAAAAGTAAGTCTCACGAAGCAGAGGCCAGAGAGCTCAGGGCCATGTGGGGAAGCAGGATGGGAGCACTCAGGTGTGTGTTCCTCACAAACAGGATGGTCCCTGGCCCAAGGCAGCAGCCACAGAGGCAGGACTTTCTAGAGAGGGCACCAGACTCCCTGTCCCTGCCTTCAACTCACAGACCGTTGCCTGATTCTGAACTGTATCCCCATGTCCCCTGCAGCCACTCACATCCAGGAGAAGGTTCCATGACAGGCAGAAAGTGGGAGACAGAATCAATGGGATGGGAACTCAGAGCTATTCATGGGATGGGTCCTTGAGCTCAGAGAGATAGAATGTCTGAGTCTGCTGTTGGCAACTGAGGGACCTCAGCCACCTATGGTCTCCCCCTGTATGTTGGTATCTGCTTATGAAATGAGGACCCAGAAGTGCCCTCCGAGCTGTTTTGTTGACTTCCATCTTCTACAGATGCTGCGGTAATGGACCAAGAGTCTGCAGGAAACAGAACAGCGAATAGCGAGGTAGGTACTCCTCGGCCCGGGCTCGTGGCTACTGTTATTCCCAAAGAGTCCTGGAAAATGTGAGCACCCTCCCTCACTCAGCATTTCCCTCTCTCCAGGACTCTGATGAACAAGACCCTCAGGAGGTGACATACACACAGTTGAATCACTGCGTTTTCACACAGAGAAAAATCACTCGCCCTTCTCAGAGGCCCAAGACACCCCCAACAGATATCATCGTGTACACGGAACTTCCAAATGCTGAGTCCAGATCCAAAGTTGTCTCCTGCCCATGAGCACCACAGTCAGGCCTTGAGGGCGTCTTCTAGGGAGACAACAGCCCTGTCTCAAAACCGGGTTGCCAGCTCCCATGTACCAGCAGCTGGAATCTGAAGGCGTGAGTCTGCATCTTAGGGCATCGATCTTCCTCACACCACAAATCTGAATGTGCCTCTCACTTGCTTACAAATGTCTAAGGTCCCCACTGCCTGCTGGAGAAAAAACACACTCCTTTGCTTAACCCACAGTTCTCCATTTCACTTGACCCCTGCCCACCTCTCCAACCTAACTGGCTTACTTCCTAGTCTACTTGAGGCTGCAATCACACTGAGGAACTCACAATTCCAAACATACAAGAGGCTCCCTCTTAACGCAGCACTTAGACACGTGTTGTTCCACCTTCCCTCATGCTGTTCCACCTCCCCTCAGACTAGCTTTCAGTCTTCTGTCAGCAGTAAAACTTATATATTTTTTAAAATAACTTCAATGTAGTTTTCCATCCTTCAAATAAACATGTCTGCCCCCATGGTTTCGGTAATGGGACTCTTTTCTTGCCTAAGGCTTCCGGTGTTATCAGTACCATGTCCATATAATCCCATCTGTTCCCCACTGAGTTCTCATCCCCGGACTCTGAGTTTCTGGAAGCAGGGTGGAGCCTCATTTGTCTCTGGGACTCCAATTTCCATCCAAAGATGTAGCACATAGGAGGTTCCAAGGATCACGAATCATATGAACAAGTGATACTCTTACTCTCTGCAGACCTGGAAAGCTGGCAGAGTCATTCCACAATGAAACATTTGTAGAATCATAGGCCTTGTTAGTCTCATCTCCATGGGGACACATATCAACACATCATCTTTCATAATATAAATATACGGTCACTCCTCCATATCTGCGGGGTTTACAGGTGTTTATTGAACCAAGTATAAATCAAAAATATTGAGAGAAAGTATCCACAGAGTTTCAAAAAGCATAACTATGTTGAATGGACACAAATGAAGCTGTGTGTAGGCTGTATCAGGAATTATAAGTAATCTAGAGATGATTTCATGTATACAGGAGGATGTGCATAGGTTATTTGCAAACGCTGTGCCATTTCATATAAGAGGCTTGAGCATCTACAGATTTTGGTATCTGAGTGGAGATCTCAAAACCAATCACCCACGAATAGTGAAGGATGACCGTATATGACTTTTATTTCTCAAATTTAAATATAAATCATAAAAAATGTACAACTAGATA
Organism: Homo sapiens; assembly: GCF_000001405.40. NCBI lineage: Eukaryota > Metazoa > Chordata > Mammalia > Primates > Hominidae > Homo > Homo sapiens. Next base: position 689,373 of record NW_003571060.1, read on the forward strand.
AAAACTAAGAAGTGTTTTTATAGTGTGAGTTAGATTTATTTTTTCCTAGGTGTAACCAATTGGTTTAATATTATTTATTGAGAAGACATTCTATGCCACCTTAAACCACACGGCAGCCTTTGTCAACTCTAAAGGGACTGTGTGTACATGGATGTATTTTAGACACTGTTTCTGCTAAGGGGCTCTCTGTGTCCACACTCTTGATGATGCTGCACTTTATGTAGCCTTATAGAACCCTTTAAATTTAGTAGCCAGAGCCCTCTAATTTGTTATTATAGGCTGTTTGCTTTTTTTTTCTTGAGGCGGAGTCTTGCTCTGTCGCCCAGGCTGGACTGCAGTGGCACAATCTCAGCTCACTGCAACCTCCGCCTCCCAGGTTCAAGCGATTCTCGTGCCTCAGCCTCTTGAGTAGCTGGCGTTACAGGTGCCTGCCACCAGGCACGGCTAATTTTTGGATTTTTAACAGAGACACGGTTTCACTATATTGGCCAGGCTGCTCTCAAACTCCTTATCTCAGTTGATCCGCCCACCTCGGCTTCCCAACGTGCTGGGGAAAACTTGATTTTCTATAGCATTATGTTACTGGATATTTCTGTAAAATTTAAAACGAGGGAGGGAGAGAGACAGACAGAGAGCAAACTCCAGAGTTGGGACTCTGGAATCTTGGGTCATGAGACAAATTTTAGATTAAACTACAAAACTCCAGAATTTACAGGTGTGGTTTTTGCTGATAAAGTACAATTCTAAGATTGTAAATAATTGCATAATCCTTCCCTGGGAATTTAAATCATTTTAGCTGGTTCTGCTGTAATACTAGAAATACAAGCATGAAAAATTCTAATGGTTTATTAGTCACAATGACTCCGAAAACATTAATAATACCTATTAGATACTTTGCATATTACACAGGAAGAAGAGTTTGAATCTCAGATAAAAACAAAAAAAATACATGAAAAGTCTTTCATGTTAGCACAGATTTTAGGCATCTCGTGTTCGGATAAAAATACATGAAAAGTCTTTCACGTTAGCACAGATTTTAGGCATCTTGTGTTCGGGAGGTTGGATCTGAGACGTGTTGTGAGTTGGTCATAGTGAAGGACGTGAGGTGCCAATTCTAGTGAGAACAATTTCCAGGAAGCCGTGTTCCGCTCTTGAGCAAGCATCCACTGGGCCTCATGCAAGGTAGAAAGAGCCTGCGTACGTCACCCTCCCATGATGTAGTCAACATGTAAGCTGCATGGGCAGGGCGCCAAATAACATCCTGTGCGCTGCTGAGCTGAGCTGGGGCGCGGCCGCCTGTCTGCACCGGCAGCACCATGTCGCTCATGGTCGTCAGCATGGCGTGTGTTGGTGAGTCCTGGAAAGGAATAGAGGGAGGGAGTGCCACATCCTCCTCTCTAAGGTGGCGCCTCCTTCTCCCCCAGGTGGTCAGGACAAGCCCTTCCTCTCTGCCTGGCCCAGCCCTGTGGTGTCTGAAGGAGAACATGTGGCTCTTCAGTGTCGCTCTCGTCTTGGGTTTAACGAATTCAGTCTGTCCAAAGAAGACGGGATGCCTGTCCCTGAGCTCTACAACAGAGTATTCCGAAACACCGTTTTCATAGGCCCTGTGACCCCAGCACATGCAGGGACCTACAGATGTCGGGGTTCACACCCACACTTCCTCACTGGGTGGTCAGCACCCAGCAACCCCCTGGTGATCATGGTCACAGGTCAGAGGGCTCCTGTCTGGGATTCTCCTTGTCCCACCTCCTGAGTCCCAGAGCTTCTGGTGGGAGTGTCCACCAGCGTCCCATCATCCAGACCCTAACTGTATTTGGGGTAAAAGGGGATTGAATACAGGGAAATGGGTGCTGTGGTGGAAAGAATAATTGTCCCCAATGATGACTGCATTCTAATCCCTGCAGTCTGTGACTATTTATGTTATAGGGGAAGGCACTGAAGGGGAAGATGGAGCTCAGGTTGTTGAGTTGACCTTGAGATGGGGAGACAGCCTGGACTGTCCTGCTGGGCTCAGTGTAATCACAAGGGTGCACATGAGAGGAGAAGGAAGAGGGGAGTGGCGATTAGAGCAGTGCAATGGAAGTCTCCATCAGCTTTGAAGGTGGAGGAAGGCCATGAGCCATGAATGCAGGTGGCCTATAGAGGCTGGAAAAGTCAAGGAACTGATTCTCCTGGGTCTCCAGAGGGAACGCAGCCCTGCAGATGCCTTGATTTTAGCCCTCAAAAAACAGGGTCCGATTTCTGTCTCCAGAAACGGAAGGGGTCAGTGTGCTCTCTCCTGCTGCCATGCTTCTGATAATTTTCCACAGCACCAACAGGAAACCAACACTGGAACCCAGGTCAAGGACAAGATAAGAAAGGACACAAGGATAGCCGGGCGTGGTGGCAGGTGCATGTAATCCTAGCAACTCAGGAGGCTGAGGGCAGGAGAATCACTTGAACCCAGGAGACAGAGGTTGCAGTGAGCCTAGACCACACCACTTCACTCCAGCCTGGGTGAAGGAGTGAGACTCTGACTCCAAAATTAATTAATTAATTAAAGAAACCAAACAAAGAGAAGGTTGGCTACACCGAGATCAGCAAGGGTGGGATGATGATGCCACCACCAGGCTCCATCCACATAGGGAGGGGTTGATACTCCTCAAACCAGCACCAGAAGCCAGCCTATGGAAGCTGGCACCATGGAGAAGGCACAGGCATGGCAAGAGTGGCTCCCAGTCCCCACCAGGAACAGGGTGTGTGGACACTGGTGCCTGCCTTACTGATCAGTTCATACCTTCTGCCAAGGATTCCAATTCGTCCAAAAGAGATTGAACCAGTCTGCTAAGAGCCTGGACGTGCAGCCTATCCTGGTTCCTCTTCCACCCCCACATAGAAGCAGGAAAGACATTAGTTCGAAATAGATACAACAGCCCAAGAGATGAGGCTGAGCCCAGCGGCAAGGGAATCAGGAGCTACTAGAGACAGAGGGACAGAGAAGAGGGAGGGAGACAGATGGAAGGACCTGTACCAGGAGTTATGGGCACAGAAAAGAACATGAAGACACAGAGAGGAAGGAGAGAGATAAGACACCAGCGAGGGGAAGCCTCACTCATTCTAGGTGCCATGGATGGGATGATAAAGAGAGATGCCTTCTAAAGTCACAACCTCTCTTCCTAGGAGTCCACAGAAAACCTTCCCTCCTGGCCCACCCAGGTCCCCTGGTGAAATCAGAAGAGACAGTCATCCTGCAATGTTGGTCAGATGTCATGTTTGAGCACTTCCTTCTGCACAGAGAGGGGAAGTTTAATGACACTTTGCGCCTCACTGGAGAGCTCCATGATGGGGTCTCCAAGGCCAACTTCTCCATCGGTCGCATGACGCAAGACCTTGCAGGGACCTACAGATGCTACGGTTCTGTTCCTCATTCCCCCTATCAGTTGTCAGCTCCCAGTGACCCTCTGGACATCGTGATTACAGGTGAGAGTGTCTGGACATTATTCTCATTGTCACTGGGACACAGAGTGAATGATCCACGACTTGGAGGCCCAGGTGGTTATAAGGAAGATGAGCTTGGTATTCTTATGGAGAGAGACTAACTTGGTGAGGTCTGTACCAACAGAGACAGAGAAACAGGAGACACAAGTACAGACCAGGTGTCATAACAGAGGACAGACACAGGGGCCATACAGGGAGTTAGAAAAGACAGAAAGAGTTAAAGGAGACACAGACAGACATGTGCCAGAGAGAGGTGTCCTTCCATGCTGACTTTGCTCAGAGACCTGGCACAGGTTAGAAGTTTCATTTCTGTTTTACTTCCACAAAGTGTTCTCTACCAGAAGAACCCAAGGACACCCATATTTCTGGCCTGAGTTGGGCCCTGTGGCCTCAGGCCTTCTGGCACCTACAGATGCCGTGTTTATTCTGACACCTCTGCCTTCCATGCAATGGAGAGTAATCGTCCCAGGATATCATGGCCCCAGAACATCAACCCCTGTATACTGTGTGAACTTGCGGTCCCCAGACTGGATTCTGAGGCTCACATTCCAAATAACCCCACATATGAGAGGATCACTGAGAGACACAGAGAAAAATCAGGGACACCAAAAAGCAAAGACATAAACACACAGAGAATGAGCCAGAGGAAGGAGATTGAGAGACTCACAGACACATAAAGAGGGAGAAAAGAGGGCAGAGAAGTGGAGAGAACAATGGAAGGGAACAGAGAAAAGCACTAAAATTAGAGTCCTGAGGGAGAGACACAAGGACATAGAAAGATGGAGATGTGGGGATGAATTGCAGAGATTCCAAAGAGAACTAGAGAGACCGAGAGGCAGAGCAAGACAGATGATAGATGGATAGATATAGATAGATGATAAATAGGTAGATGATAGATAATAGGTTATAGATACATAGATGATGATTGATTCATTCATTGATTAATCGATGATACATAGAGATGATGAAGATGAAGATAGATAGGTAATACATAGAGATAGAGAGGCAGACAAAGAGAAATCATAGAGAGAGAGAGACGATACATAGATATAGATAATAGATGATTTTTGGATAGACAATTGATAGATAAATAGATTATATATAGATATAGATGACAGGTAGAGAATTTGTAGATAGGCACCAAATAGATAAATAGATATATCGATAGATAATAGATAGAAATATGCAGAAAGTTATGAACAGGACACAAAGTGAGAAACTCAGAATTTAAAAAAAGTAACATCAAGTCAACTAGTCCAAGGAGAGTCAGAGAGAATAAAACAATCCAAAAAGGGAAAACATATCTAGAGGTGAGAAAGTGAGGTCAGAGACCTAGAGAGACAGAGAAGGTGGAAAGAGGAAATAGACATAAAGAGAGATGGTGTGGAGGGTGAGACAGAGAGAGAGAGCATTAGGCCATAGAGCAGGGGAGTGAGTTCTCAGCTCAGGTGGGAGGGGAGTTGTGACAAGGAAGAACCTCCCTGAGGAAACTGCCTCTTCTCCTTCCAGGTCTATGTGGGAAACCTTCTCTCTCAGCCCAGCCGCGCCCCATGGTTAAGGCAGGAGAGAGCGTGACCTTGTCCTGCAGCTCCCGGAGCTCCTATGACATCTACCATCTATCAAGGGAGGGGGAGGCTCATGAACTTAGGTTCCCTGCAGTGCCCAAGGTCAATGGAACCTTCCAGGCCAACTTTCCTCTGGGCCCTGCCACCCACGGAGGGACCTACAGATGCTTCGGCTCTTTCCGTGACTCTCCCTACGAGTGGTCAGACCTTAGTGACCCACTGCTTGTTTCTGTCACAGGTGAGGAAACCAGTCTGTTCCCCAAATAGTGGGACTCAGATGGACTACAATGGCCACATTCAGGGGAGCCTCAGATGGAGGGGGTGGCCATGGGGGTGTCAGCCAGAGATGCTGGACAGAAGAGACACAAAGCAAACATACAGAAAGAGGCATAGACAGACAGACAGAGCGAGGCAGACAGATCACATTAGGGTTTGGGGTGGTAACTGCAACCCTACCTGAAGCTTGCAGATAGAGCACAGGCCACATAAACCACTTCCCAGTCTTTGTACAGAAGCCCACCTGGGACACATGTAAACAGCATCAATGCTGACTCAGGAGCATGAAAGGCCGGGCTCAGATTGGAAAGACTAGAGGTAGCATTGGCCGCCCGCCATTGCCCATTTCCAGAAGCCCCCACCTCTCACCAAAGAGTGATTTCCACATGGGGGGCACAGATGCAACCATCGTTGGGGGAGCCCCAATGTCTCTTGATGGGAGGCATTTTCCACCCTAGATGTTTTTTGCTCTCTCCACACCTTGGAGACTCAGTGGGGGAGTCTTCTCTGGGGACTCGGGGAGGGCCTCCCTGGGACTCGCAGGATTTCCAAGCTAGATGACAACATGACAGGTGGAAACAGGCCCATTCCTTCGCCAGGGGCCCCAAGCTCCATCCCAGGAGATGAGAAGAGGCTCTTCTCATTGGTCAGTGGATCCCTGAGGGGACAGAGGCTCAGCACTGAAGGCTGAGAAGGATCTGCCACTTCGCTCAGTGGCCTCAAGCCAGACATCTTCCCTACAGACTTGCAGTGATTCTCCATCAGCATTTAGGGCTGTGGCCACCAACCTGGGTGTTGGTCTGTAGGAACTTTTCATTTCTGACCTTCCATAACTGAGTTCTCTTCCTAAATGTGGAATGCCTTGTACTCCATGTTACTCTCTCCCCAGAAAGAATGTGTGGCTTGTCTGCTCTCCAGCCCTGTCATGGAGATTGATAATCCTTAGGGAGCAAGAGGAGAGGGAAAGAACAAAGTATGAGACCACCTAGGTGCTACTGGTTGAGGTTCCATTTGCCAGTGAAGGGACTTCACTCAGCCGAGGGGGCAACTCAGGGAAGTCAGCCGAGGGAGGGCATTAGAGTAGAGAGAACTGAGCTCACCCAGTAAATGACCCCTTCACTAACTCATTCATCTAATATTTATTTCACACCTACCATCAGTTCTCTCTGTTTCATGGCCAGGAGTAGACAGCACGGCCAAGCTCCTGGGTTCATGATGCTCACATTGCTGTGGGGTGGGAGAGAGAGGCAGAACATGAATGAATGAATGAGAGAATGAATGAATGAGTGAATGATGGAATGAGTGAATGAATGAATGAATGAATGTATGAATTAGTGAGTGAATCCTTAGCACTTGGTGAAAGTGCCATGCACAGAATGAAATGAATGAACGTGGAACGTTGTCATTTGGAGTGTACAGGAGGGAACGTCTCACTGAGACCTCATCAGAGAGATCACATTTAAACTCCGATCTTAGAGACAAGAGGGAGTGAGCCCTGGGGAGTGTGTTGAAAGGAACTTTCATGGACTTAGGACATTGGGGATGACCCTAATGTGAGAATGAGCTTGGTGTGTTCCAAGAAGTCCATGGACCTGCCATATGGTGAGGGCTGGTCAGAATCCAGAGAGATTTCTAAATGCCCTTGTGCTTGTAAGGAAAGTGAGTCCTGTGGTTGGGAGTGGACTTATACCTTGGGTCAGGTCCAGCAATTATCTTTCTAAATCCTCTCTAATTGCCTGAACCACTTCTATCAACAACTGAGAAAAGAGGAGTGTTAAACACCCCACTGTGGCCGTGGATTTGCCTACCTGTCCATTTATTTCCGCGACTCTTCCTCCATGTATATTTGCAGGAATATTACTGGGAGTGGTTAAGTGTAAACTGATTATATATTCCTGGTAAATTTAAAATGCTATAAATTTACCTGCTTTTTTCCTACATTTTATGCTTAATGTTTTCCGCTGATTTTTCCCAAAGACTAATTTTGTCTAATTTTAATATAGTTATACCACATTTCTAACAGTGATTGCTTGGTATATTTCTACATTGTTTAATTTCAAACTCCATGAATTGTTAACATTGAGATGTGTCCTTTGTAAATTTCAAACAATTCGCCTTAGAAAGTAAGACTTTCTGACAATCTTTTGTTCATGTTTGAGCAGTTCTTCCAATCATATTTTTGTTATTATTACGTTGTGTTTTCCTGATTCCCTTTTTTTCCCACTGACTTCTGTGGTTTTCTATTTCAAACATTCTATTTTTGATCTATGTCGTTTAGGAATACATATATGGTGTACTCATCCTGAAGTTGTTACATATTTTTAAAATTGAAATTAATCATTTCAGAGATTAAACTGCAAATATAAAAACATATTTCCACTCTTCCTGTGTAAGAACAGGATTTTAGAGCATATTTAGTACATATGTTTGTATTTACTTATATGATGTTTTGTTTTGTGGTATACATAATTCTATCTTTTTCAGAAATTACACAGGGGCGTGTTTTCATACACTATCGTATGGTCCATATTCATTTTTGGCATAGCCATATTTTTAGTTCTTCCTCTGCTCTTAGTTATTGTCAGAATCTTCGACACCCCATCTGGTTTCACTTTCTTTATCTTTGAGGCACGGTCATCAGAATTTCCTTTAGGGTCAGTGAGAAAAGCTTTCTTTGCCCTTTTGTCTTTCAGTTCTGTTTCTTTCCTGCGTTGATCTTGGACAGTAACTGTACTATGTAAGGAATTGTCGGTGGCTGGCGACGGTATCTTAGCTGGGTAAAGATGCTATTCTACTGGCTTATGTTTTCCTTTTTTCTGTGGGGAAGACAATGCTTGGCTCCCTATAAATCCTTACCAGCTGATCCTTTTCCTCTGGCTAATTTTAAGGGTTGGTTGTGCTTTTATGCTGCTTTTCTGTAATGTTGAACGTGAGGTGTGTTTACTTCATTCTGCCTGGCATTCACTGGATTTCTTGAACCTGTGGATTGATGGATGTGTCTACTTCCTCCAAATAATCAACAATTGCCTCTTTAAAGATTGCTTCTGACCTGTTTTCTCGTTCTTTCTTTTTGGAACTCAAGTTAGGAGCATTCTAAAACTGTTGTCAATTTTTACCCTGTCACAAAACTGCTCTTTCTTGTTTCAGTTATTTGCTTTTTCTGTGCATTAATATTGATGGTTTCCTCTGTCATAGAGGATAAATACTCTCTTCACTGTTGTGTACACAACATTTTAACTAGTTATTCTGGTTTAAATTTAATATTGACTTTATCTACATATCACAATTGATTACTGTGTACAGACTTTCTTTTCTATTAGTATAAATTTATGAGGTACACTTGTAATTTTGTGACATGAGTATGTTGCAGAGTAGTGAAGTCAGGACTTTTACTATATCCATCACCCAAATACCGTACATTGTACTCATTAAGCAAATTCTCATCACTCACCCACGTCCCGCCACCCTCCAGCCTTCTAGCCTCCGCTGTCCGTCATTCCACACTCTACGTCCATATGTACACATTACTCCCCTCCCATGTAGAGTGAGAAGATGTGGTATTTGTCTTTCTGAGTGGTTTTATGTAAAATAATGGCGTCCAGCTCCATCTATGTTGCTGCAAAAGACATGGTTTTATTTTTATGACCAAATAGTATTTCGTTGTGTATACACGCATCCTTTTTTTAATCCAATCATTCATTCACAGACACTTAGATTGATTTCATATCTTTGCTATTGCAAACAGTGCTGCAATAAACATACAGGTGCAGGTATTTTTTGAGTAGATACCCAGCAGCGGGACCCCTAGATCGAATGGTGCTTCTATTTTTGGTTCTCTGCCAAATTTCCATACTGTCTTCCATAGAGGCTATACTAATTTACATACCGGCCAACAGTGTATAAGAGTTTCCTTTTCTCTGCATCCTTGCCAACACCTGTTATATGTTTCACTTTTTCTTTTTTTCTTTTTGAGATGGAGTCTTCCACTGTCACCCAGGCTGGAGTGCAGTGCCGCCATCTCCACGCGCTGCAACCTCCACCAACCAGGTTCAAATGATTCTCCTGCCTCAGCCTCCTGAGTAGCTGGGATTACAGAACCACACCACCATGCCCAGCTAATCTTTTGTATATTTAGTAGAGATGGGGTTTCACTATGTTGGTCAGGCTGGTCTCAAACTCCTGACCTCATGATCCACCCGCCTCAGCTTCCCAAAGTGCTGGGATTACAAGCGTGAGCCACCACTCCCCACCAGCATTTTTAGTAATAGCCATTCTGACTACTGTAAGATGATATCTCATTGTGGTTTCAATTTGCATTTCTCTGATGATTAGTGATGTTCATACGCTGTTTGGCCATTCGTATGTCTTCTTTTGAAAAATGTCTATGTATATCCCTTTGCCCACTTTTTAATGCTATTATTTGAGGGGTTATGTTTAGTTGTTTGAGTTGCCTAGAAATTCTGGATGTTAGTCCTCTGTTGGGTGCATAGTTTGCAAACATTTCCATTCATTCTGTGGGTTGTCTGTTCACCCTGCTACTATTTCCTTTGCTTGGCAGAAGCTCTTTCGTTTATTAAGTCCCATTGGTCTAGTTTTATTTTTATTGCCTGTGCTTTTGAGGTCTTAGTGATGAATTCTTTGCCCAGACCAATGCCCAGAAGAGTTTCTCTTTGGGTTTCCACCGGTGATTTTATAGTTCTGGATTTACATTTAAGCTGCTAATTACCTTAAGTTAATTTATGTGTATGATTACAGATACAGGTCCAGTTTTATTCTTCTGCATATGGCTATTTAGTTTTCCCAGCACCTTTTATTGAAAAGGAAATCTTTCTCCAGTGTATGTTTTGTTAACGTCGTCAATGATTATTCACTGTAGATATGAGGCTGTATTTCTGGGCTCTCTATTCTGGTCTATTGATCTCTGTTTCTGTGTCTATACCAGCACTGTGCTATTTAAGTTACTATAGCCTTAGAGCATAGTTTGAAGTCAGATAGCGTGATGCCTCCAGGTTTCTACATTCACCTAGAATTGCTTTCTCTATTAGGATCTTTTTTGGTTCTGTATGAATTTTAGGATTGCTTTTTCTAATTCTGTGAAAGCTGGTGTTACTATTTTCATATAAGAATTGCACTGAATCTGTAGATTGCTTTAGGCAGTATGGTCATTTTAACAATATTAATTCTTATGATCCATGAGCGTGGGATTTTTTTTCTTTTTTTTTTTTTGTATTATCTATAATTGCTTTCATTGGTGTCTTACACCTTTCCTGGTACAGCTCTTTCACCACCTTGGTTAAATGTATTCCTGAGTGTTTTAATTTTGCGTATCTATTGTAAACGGCATTGCCTTCTTGATTTGGTTCTCAGCTAGATCATTATAGGTGTAGAGAAATGCTACTGGCTTTTACATATTGATTTTGTATTCTGAAACTTTACTTAGTTCATTTATCAATCATAAGAATTTTTGGCAGGGTCTTTAGGATTTTCTAGATTTAAGATCATAGCATCAGAAATAAAAATAATTTTACTTCCTCTTTTCTAATTTGGATTTTTAATTCTTCCTGTTGCCCAATAGCTCTGACAAGGCTTCCAGTACTATGTTGATAGGAAGTGGTGGATGTCCGTGTCCTTGTCTTGTGCCAGTTCTCAGAGGAGTGCTTTTAACTTTTCCTGTTCAGTATGATGTTGACTCTAGATATGTCATCTATGGCTTTTATTATTTTGAGGTATGTTCTTTCTATGCCTAAGTTTTTGAGGGTTTTCATCAGGTAAGGATGTTGAATTTCTTTTCAGATGCTTTTCTTTATGTCTATTGAGATGATCATATGGTTTTTGTTCTGGATTCTGCTCGTTCTTCTAAGTGGATGAGACATGCCAGAAAAGCATTTAGTCAGCCATCTTGGAAACAAGCATCTCAGATGTTTTCTTTCTCTATAGCTCATTCTTTCTTACCAGTGTTTTCAATTTTGTACTTAATTTTGTAAAGAGAGTAAATGATATAATTTCCACATATGTTTCCTCTGCCAAATCAGACTCACTATGCTTCCTTTCCTTGTATGCATAACCTACCCAGCAATACACACAAACATTTATTGCTTTGGAGAATTAGTTTGGGAACATTTTTGAAATGTACAAAAAAATGTATATCTTCAAAAGAAATTTCTTTTTGTGGCAAAAGACTTCTGAAGGTGCTCATGATGATATAGGGAGAAGAGGGGTTCTGGACAGGAAGAATTTTATGAAGGTGAGATGGGGAAATAGCTCCATTTCAGAGCTTCTGGGGAGAGAGGGGCCTGGCCCACATGGAAAGGTCTCTGATCTTACCCCCACCCTCCAGCCCCTGTTCTCCAGAACTATACTGTGGAGAGTTCCATCAGGATTGTTGTGGCTGGTCTGGTCTTCCTGGCTCTTTTGGCAATGCTGGCTAAGACCTGGTGGAGACATGAGGGGCCACAGGTGGAAATGGAAGAAACATGACTGAAGCTGGCTGGAGTGAATGGCGCGACATTCTGTCTGTGGGAGATTGGCCAGATGGGTTTCAAGTGTGTTGTATCAGCTGTGACTTTTAGTAATGTTCTTGCTACCACAATATCCACTCGTCCATCCCGAATAATTGTGATGAAATATTGTCCTTGGGATAATATTCATTTGCTAAAGACAGGGATGATACCTCAAGGTGCCACTATATACATCGAGGGGATCCACAAAAGTCCATTCAGTAAAATGTAGTTGGCATCTTAGGGTAGGTTGATTCCACCTCTAAAAAAGTAGGTACAACATCAGGTTGATTTTTCCGAAGAAAAGTGGTGATTGGCCATCTTTAGTCTCAATGTAAACGGTAATACTGATGAGTGTGGAAAAGGCAGGGAAGAGGATTGACAATAAGTGACACTCATTGTTTTCATCTGAGCTTTGAGACTGAAAGAGGAACACAGGAGTGAGATGTATGGGAACAAACCCCTTCTTTTTCCAGCTAAACAGAGTGGAAGTTGGACACTGAGTTTTGGCGTACAGCAAAATCCTAAGTCCATTGTTGGGTTGAACACGGCCATGTTGTACATCCTGGTTTCACAGCAGACACTGGAGGAAAACAGCCTGTATTCATAAGAGGCTGTCCCTCGGGTCACTGCCCAGAATATCCGGAGTTGGTGCTCACAGGGTTGGGAACTCTCCTGGACCAGACAGGCTCTGGATATGGGGGGGTACCAAGCTCCCCGGGGCCATGCCTCCACAGCTCTCTTCTCACCTCATTCTTGACCATTTCCCAAACCTCTGACCTCACCTTCATTCATCCATGGTGAACACGCTAAAGCTGGCCTTCAAAGCTTGAGACAGAGGAAAATTGGGCTTCATCTCTGGGAACTAAATTGGGGAGTGGAGACTCAGTTCTGGCCTGACAGGAGGGAGAAGACCCTGGATCCCAGTGTGGATGGGAAGAAGTATGTGTTTCTCTTTTGTGCTTGGACCCTGTGTCCAAGCATGTCTGAGATGTGATGAAGATGAATCTTCCTTTCCTTGTCTATTTTCTCATGCCAGAGAATTGGAATCTTATATTCCATTAACTCTTTCTGTTCTGTTCATCCAGATTCTATGAAGGAGAAAGGAAAAGATGTGATACTGTAATTTTGCTCCATTTGTCTAAAATGAGTAGGCTGCAACTCCTCTTGAAGTGATACCTTTTCTAGCTCTTGTTGGAGGTGTCTCAGGACTCATTACTTCGGGGAACCTGCAACTGTGTCAGTCTGGGGAAACTGCAAATATTCTTGTCTTACATTTGTCTCCAGCCAATTGTGATGGACTCCAGTGACCTGCAATTGCTGTTATTGCAGGTAAAATGTACCTGAGTCAGGCCACAGTTCTCCTGGACTATGAGCCCCTGGCCATGTTCCTGAGGCAATTCTGTTCATCTAAATATAATAATAATAACACACTAAAAATGGCAAGCCATTGTTAATTCCTGAAGTCTCATTTGAAAATTACTAAATGTCTGTTATTTTTTGGTGTTTACATTATATGTAGACAGATAAACTACACACACACACACACACACATGCACACAGAAGAATGGATTGGTTCATGTAGAAAAGTAAATAATTCAAGATGAAAGGATGAAATGTCATGGCACCTACTATTCTATTTTAGATAAAGGGTCTATGAAAAGATTGATTTCTTTTTATGTTTTATTTGTTGACATTTGAACACAAACTATGTAAGTGAGGGAGTCGATTTGAAAGGGAGAAGAGCAAGTTCAAACACATTCAGGTGAGGTCATGCTTTACATGTTTTAATTGAAATGATCCATCTTGGGAGTAGATCAATAACTGAGATGGTGCCAGGAATGTTAAAAAGCTTTTGTCAGTCCTAAATATTGACAAATAAAATTTAATTAAAGTCTTAGAAGAAAACACAAAGGAAAACTTCACAACATCGGATTTGGCAGTGATTCTTTAGATGTGACAACAACGGCACAGGCTACTACAGAAAAAATAAACAAGTTAGACTTTATGAAAATTTTGAAATATTGTGACTCAAAAGACAACATCAGTTACTTCACATGGCAAGGAAAAAGAACTTTTAAGACGATATTATCAAAGTAAAAAGACAACCCACAGAATGGGAGAAAATGTTTTCAAACCACACCACCTGTAAGGGATTAACATCCAGAATATACAGACAACTCCTAAAACTCAATCACAATAAACTCAATTCAAAAATGGGCAAAGTACTGAAACAGACATTTCTCCAAAGAACATACGCATGACAAGATATTCAGCATCACGAATCATTAGGGAAATACTAACTAAAACTACACCAGATGCCATTTCATACCCCTTAGGATGGGTATCATCAAAACAACAACAACAACAACAACAACAAAGTTTCTATACATTAACAACAAACTATCCAAAAAAGTTTACAAGAAAATAAGCCCATTTGCAATAACTACAGAAAACAAAACATGCAGGAATAAATTCACCCAAGGAGTAGAAAGATCTGTATGCAAAAGCTATAAAACATTGATGAAAAAACTCAAGAAATAAACAAATAAATCGAAAGATATTCCATGTTCACGGATCAGAAGGATTAATGTTGTTAAAATGTCCATTCTATCCAAAGTGATTCAATGCAACCATTATCAAAAATCCAATGACATTTTTTTTTACAGAAATAGAAAAAACAGTCCTAAAATTCATGTGGAACCACAAAAGATCTCAAATAACCAAAGCCATCTAGAGGGAAAGGAACAAAGTTGGAAGCATCACATTACCTAAACACAAACTACATTACAAAGTTACAGTAATTAAAACAACACAGTACTTGCATAAAAACAGACACATAGACCAATGGAAGTGATTCATAGCCCAGGAAAAAAAATGCACGCATTTAGGGTCAAACAATTTTTGGGATGTATCAAGAACACACAATGGAGAAGGAACAGTCTCTTTAATAAATGGGATTGGGAGACATGCAGAAGAATGGAAGTGGACATTTGCCTCACAAAACATACAAAGTCAACTCAAGATAGATTAATGACTTAAATGTAAGGTGAAAGACTATCATCCCAGCAATTTGGGAGGCCAAGGCGGGCAGATCACCTAAGGTCAGGATTCCAAGACCAGCATGGCCAACATGGTGAAATCCCGCCTCTACTAAAAATACAAAAACAGCTGGGTGTGGTTGTGGGTGCCTGTAATCTCAGCTACTCGGGAGGTTGAGACAGGAGAATCACTTGAACCCAGGAGGTAGAGGTTGCAGTGAGCCGAGATCGCATCACTGCACTCCAGCCGGGGCAACAGAGTGAGACTCCATCTTAAAAAAAAAAAAAACTACTAAAAGAAATCAAGGGAAAACTCCACTGGCTTGGGCAAAACCATTTTGGATATTAACCCAAAGGCCCAGGCAACAAAAGCAAAAGTAGACAAATAACATTATATCAAATTGAAAGTTTCTGCAAAGAAAAAAAAAAACTCAACAAGTGGAAAGACAACCTATGGAATGGGAGAATATATTTGCACCCATACATCTAATAAGGAATTAATATCCAAAATATATAAGAAACTCAAACAACTCAATGGTAAGAAATCAAATAACCCAACTTAAAAAAATGGGCAAAGTATCTGAATAAACATTTCTAAGAATAAGACAAATCACCAAAAGGTATATGAAAAAATGATTAGCATTACTAAACATCAGCTAAATAAAAATTAAAACTAGAATGAGATATCACCTCACACCTCTTAGAATGACCATTAACAGTCTGGGCATGGTGGCTCATGCCTGTAATTCAGGCACTTTGGGAGGCCGAGGCAGGGAGATTACCTGAGGTCAGCAGTTCGAAACCAGCCTGGCCAATATGGTGAAATCCCATCCCTACTAAAAATACAAAAATTAGCAGAGTTTGGTGGCGCACACTTGTAGTCCCAGCTACTCTGGAGACTGAGGCAGGGGAATCGCTTGAACCCAGGAGGCAGAGGTTGCAGTACACCGAGATTGTGCCACTGCACTCCAGCCTGGGTGACAGAGCAAGACTGAGTCTCAAAAAAAAAAAAAAAAAGACCATTATCAAAAACATAAAAAATAACAAGCATTAACGAGGATGTGGAGAAAAGGGAACATTTGTATGCAGTTGATGGGAATGTAAATTAGCACAACCATTATGGAAAACAGTCTGGAAGTTCCTGAAAAAATTAAACATAGAATTCCCATATGTGTCTGCAATCCAACTACTGCGCATGTATCCAAAGGAAGTGGAATCAGTATGTTGAAGAGATATCTGCATTCCCATGTTTACAGCCGCATTATTCATAACAGCCAAGATGTGGAATCACCCTTACTGCCCATCTATGGGTGCATGGACAAAGAAAACGTGGTATACGATAGGAACGTAATGAAGTACTATACAACCTTTACAACAAAGAAGGAAGTCCTCTCATTTGTGACAATGTGAAAAAACTTAGAGGACATTATGTTAAGGGAAACAATCCAGGCACAGAAAGACAAATGCCACATGATCTCATGTGTGGAGTGTAAGAAGTGGAACCTAGAGGAACAGTAAAATGGTCGTCGAAAGAACCTGGGAAGGAGAGAGATTGAAGAGATGTTGGTCAAAGGATGCAAAATTTCAGTTAGAAGAAATCGGTTCAAGAGATCTATTGTATGTCTTGGTGACTCCATTTAATAGCAACATATGGTGTATTGAACATTACTAAGAGATTAGATTTTACATGTTCTCACCACACACACAAAACATACAAGTATGTGAAAAAATAAATAGATAAAGAGGTTGTTTCATCCATTCCACAATGTGTACCTATATGAAAACATCATGATGGACACCACAAATACCCTTTTCCTCATTAATTAAATTTGTTTTGGCTTTTTTTTTGAGACGCAGTTTCACTGTTGTTGCCCAAGCTGAGGTGCAATGGCGTGATCTCCGCTCACTGCAACCTCTGCCTCCCAGGTTCAAGCGGTTCTCCTGACTCAGCCTCCCAAGCAGCTGGGACTACAGTTGCGTACCACCCCGTCCGGCTATATTTGTGTTTCTAGTAGAGACAGGGTTTCGCCATGTTGGCCAGGCTGGTCTCGAACTCCAGACCTCAGGTGATCCACCCGCTTCGCCCTCCCAAAGTGCTAGATTTCAGGCTGAGACACCACACCCAGCCTGTACATTGACTTTCTGCCCTTAAACTGTGCTGAAGTTTGTTTCTCAGATGTAGGAGCCTTTGGGCAGAGACTATGGGGTTTCTAGGTATAGAAATTATCTCATCTTCAAACAGAGGTAATTTGACTACCTCTCTCTGCTACTCTCTTCTTACTTGGATGCCTTATAATTCTTTCTCTTTCCTGATGGCTCTGTCTAGGACTTCAAGTACTATGTTGAATAGGATGGTGAGAGTGGGCATTCTTGTCTTGTTTCACTTATGAAGGGAACTTCTTCCAGCTTTTACTCATTCAGTATGATGTTGGTTGTGGGTTTGTCATAGGCGGCTCTTATTATATTGAGTTATGTTTCTTCAATGCTTAGCTTGTTGAGGGCTTTTAACATGAAGAAATGCTTAGTAAAAAGTATGTTCTACATGTGTGTTGAGAAGATCATGTGGTTTTTGTTTTTAGTTTTGTTTAGGTGATGAATCACATGTATTGATTGTGTATGTTCAACCAACCTTGCACCCTAAGAATAAAGTTGACTTGATCATGGTGGATTCACTTTTTGATATGCTGCGGGATTCAGTTCTTAGTATTTTTTGTGGATTTTTGCATCTATGCTCATCAGGAATATTGGCATGTAGTTTTCTTTTGTTTAATATTCTTTTCTGTCTTTAGTATCAGGGTGATGCCAGCCTTATAGAATGAGTAAAGGCCACCCTGGGCAAACAGTGAGACCCATCCCTTTTTAAAAATTATGAGTTTTACAAATTTAAAATGCATAGTGAAAAAGTTCTTACAAACTCCAGAAAGGTAGGTGTAAATAAGAGACATTTGTAAGAATGACAGCACATTAAATGTGTAGATTTCAACCTTCAGTTATTGCAATATTCCAGTATCAAGTTGGAGGATGTTATCAGTCTGATATTTTTTCCTCAAATGAGAGAGAGAAAGAAAGACACACAAACAACACAGGGAGAAAAAAAGCACACGTTACAGAGAGACAAAAAGGGAGACAGGGAACTGTGAATTTGGACTCTTGTGTCATAAGACAAATTCTAGATAACACGACCAGACCTTCAATTGACATATTGTGTTTTTGCTAATAAGGTGGAATTCTATGATGCGAAATAACTATATAGTCTTTTCTACTGGGATTTAAATCATTTTATCTGTTTCTGGCTTAACAGGAAAAATACAACCATGGAAAATTATGATGATTTATTTAATACGATTGCTCTATAGTGTTAATAAAACCTATTAGGTATTTTGCATATTACATATCAAGGAGAGTTTGAATCTCAGGTAGAAACAAAAAAAAATACATCAAAAGTTCCTCATGTGAGTGCAGAATTCAATCGTCCCGTGCAGGGGTAAGTGAGTCTGAGATGTGTTTTGAGCCTGGCCGTTGCGCATGATGTGAACTGACAAGTCTAGTCTGCAGTTTTCAGAAACCCTCATTCCTCCCTTGACTGACTCACCACTTGAACCTCATATGACGTAGAAGAAGCCTACCTATGTCCCCTTCACATGTTGTGGTCAATGTGTCAACTGCACGATCCGGGCCCCTCACCACATCCTCTGCACCGGTCAGTCGAGCCGAGTCACTGCGTCCTGGCAGCAGAAGCTGCACCATGTCCATGTCACCCACGGTCATCATCCTGGCATGTCTTGGTGAGTCCTGGAAGGGAAGGAGCACCAGGGTTACACTATGGGCCTGCAGATTGGGTGTCTCCCCAGCAGAGAGCCATGTTCTGAAGCAAGTGAGTGGTGAGGATGAGTTAATTTTCAGTCCAGCGTGGCGCCCAGTGGCTCAGGAGGAAAGGGTAGGTTGGTGCCGAGATGAATAGTTCATCATGATCTTTCTTTGCAGGGTTCTTCTTGGACCAGAGTGTGTGGGCACACGTGGGTGAGTCCTTCCCCAAATGATGGGTTGCCATCTTCACCCCAATACAAGTGAATTTTCCGGAAATGGGAGGGAGGCAGCACAGAGGGTGGGCTGATGGGCTGACCATGGGAAGGCCTGGGGGGAGTCTCTCATGAACTAGTAAGAGGAGATCCTGGGAGTCTCTCATGAACTAGTAAGAGGAGATCCTGGGAGTCTCTCATGAACTAGTAAGAGGAGATCCTGGGAGTCTCTCATGAACTAGTAAGAGGAGATCCTGGTATGCTCAGCCCTCTGTTTTGTCTTAGCCCTCCCCAGCCTTTCTTCCCCATGGCTGAGTTGAGCTCTGTGTGGCCCAGGCGGGATACTGAGGTGCTCAAAGCTGGGGTGTGTGGGGGGATGTGGTGTCACCGACAGAGGAGGGAAGGGTAGCAGTGTTAGGAACAGCAGGTCCTCTGAGGACAAGAGGGTAACTCACACCCTCCAGCGTTTCCATGACGGTAGGGGCTGCAGTGTGGCTGCTGTCATTCTGCCAGAAGAGGTGGGGGAACCACAGCCACGACCCTGCCATTCCAAATCCTCTGATGGAGCTCAGTTGTTTATTGTGGTTCAGGCATTAGCTAATATTCCATTCACAAAGGTCATACCCTCCACCCCATGTCTACTTTGTGTTGTTTGGTGTAACTAATCTTGCAGTATTAAAATCTAGTAAGAGTCCCTTACTCAGCACCTGCTCAGTTCTCAACTGACACTTTTGTTGTAGGGAGACGCCACGTCTATGCGGGATGGGTCCTTCCTGTAGCCCCAGGCACCCAGGTGTGGTAGGAGCCTTAGAAAGAAGAAATGGGGAGAATCTTCTGAGCACAGGGAGGGAGGGGCAGCTCAACATACTCCTCTCTGAGGCGGCATCTCCTTCTCCCCAAGGTGGTCAGGACAAGCCCTTCTGCTCTGCCTGGCCCAGCGCTGTGGTGCCTCAAGGAGGACACGTGACTCTTCGGTGTCACTATCGTCGTGGGTTTAACATCTTCACGCTGTACAAGAAAGATGGGGTCCCTGTCCCTGAGCTCTACAACAGAATATTCTGGAACAGTTTCCTCATTAGCCCTGTGACCCCAGCACACGCAGGGACCTACAGATGTCGAGGTTTTCACCCGCACTCCCCCACTGAGTGGTCGGCACCCAGCAACCCCCTGGTGATCATGGTCACAGGTCAGAGGGCTCCTGTCTGGGCTTCTCCTTGTCCCACCTCCTGAGTCCCAGAGCTTCTGGTGGGGGTGTCCACCAGAGTCCGATCATCCAGGCCCCAACTATATTTGGGGTAAAGGGGGATTGAATACAGGGGAATGGGTGCTGTGTTGGAAAGAATAACTGTCCCCATCGATGGCCACATTGTAATCCTTGGAGCCTGTGACTATGTTATAGGGCAGGGGACTGAAGGGGAAGATGGAGCTCAGGTTGTTGATGAGTTGACCTTGAGATGGGGAGATGGCCTGGACTCTCCCACTGGGCTCAGTGTAATCACAAGGGTCCATATGAGTGGAGAAGGAAGAGGAGAATGGGGATTAGAGCAGCATCGTGGGATACTCCACCAGCCACTGTGGGCTTTGAAGGTGGAGGAAGACCACGAGCCACGAAGGGGCTGGAGAAATCAATGGAACTGATTCTCCCGAGTCTCCAGAGGGAATGCAGCCCTGCAGATGCATTGATTGTAGCCCAGGAAGAACAGGGTCTGATTTCTGTCTCCAGAAGTGGAAGGGGTCAGTGTGTTCTCTCCTGTCGCCATGTTTGTGATAATTTTCTCCAGCAACAACAGGAAACCAACACAGGAACCCAGGTGAAGGACAAGTTAAAAAACCAAACAAGAAGGTTGGCTACCCTGAGATCAGCAAGGGTGCACTGCTGATGCCACCACCAGGCTGGAACCACATAGGGAGGGATCGACAGGAAGAGTTGGGGGTGGAGGGTGAGAGAGAGAGAGAGAGCACTAGGCCATAGAGCAGGGCAGTGAGTTCTCAGCTCAGGTGGGAGGGGAGCTGTGACAAGGAAGAACCTCCCTGAGGAAACTGCCTCTTCTCCTTCCAGGTCTATATGAGAAACCTTCGCTTACAGCCCGGCCGGGCCCCACGGTTCGCACAGGAGAGAACGTGACCTTGTCCTGCAGCTCCCAGAGCTCCTTTGACATCTACCATCTATCCAGGGAGGGGGAAGCCCATGAACTTAGGCTCCCTGCAGTGCCCAGCATCAATGGAACATTCCAGGCCGACTTCCCTCTGGGTCCTGCCACCCACGGAGAGACCTACAGATGCTTCGGCTCTTTCCATGGATCTCCCTACGAGTGGTCAGACGCGAGTGACCCACTGCCTGTTTCTGTCACAGGTGAGGAAAGCCAATGTCTGTCCCATGTCCTATGGTCCTAGAGCCTTAGCTGAGGAGCTTCCTGCTGATGATGGAGAGAAGCATGGACAGATGTGGAGAGAAGATGCAGCATGGTGTGAGGGTGGGATCAGGGCACAGGATGGCAGACAGGGCACCTCCAAACCCTCCTGCATGGCCTGCATGGAAGCTTGCAGTAAGGGCTCCGGGTACCCAGGCAGATGGAGAAAGTGGTCAGGACAGACCCAGAGGAGGGAGACTGGGCTCAGTTTGGGGAGATCAGAGGTTCCCTCAGCCCCTCAACCTTACCCATTTCCCAGAAGCCCACCCTGGCCTCTCACCTACACAGAGATGTCATCACCAGCAACCCCTACACTTTTTCTTTTCCTTTGAAAAAATGCTGATTGAGGTTAAATATACCTATATAATTTATCAACTTTACCATTTTTAAGTGTAAAATCTAGGGATCATAAATACCTTTATATGCTGTGTGCGGTGGCTCACGCCTGTAATCTCAGCATTTTGAGACGCCAAGGCAGGTGGATCATTTAAAATCAGGGGCTGGAGACCAGCCCGGCCAACATGGGGGAACCAATCTTTACTAAAAAGACAAAAAAAATAAAATTAGCCAGGCATGGTGCCAGGCGCCTATAATCCCAGCAACTTGGGAGGCTGAGGCGGGAGAGTGGCTTAAACCCAGGAGGAGGAGGTTGCAGTGAGCTGAGATCATGCCACTGCACTGCAGCCTGGTGACACAGAGAGACTCTGTCTCTAAATAAATAAATAAATAAATACTTTTATATTCTTCTTTTGTTACCCTCCACCCCTTCCTTCCTAACCTCTGGTATCCACCATTCTACTCTCTACCTTCATGAGGTCCACCTTTTACATCCTGCATGTGAGTAAGAAATGGCAATCCTTGTAATGACCTCTAGTCCATCCATGTGGCTGCAAATGACAGGACGTTACTCTTTCTATGGATGAGTTGTCTCCATTGTGTGTATGTACTACATTCTCTCTATCCATTCATCCACTGATGGGCAGGTAGGTTGACTCCACATCTTGGCTACTGTGAACAGTGCTGGAACAGTCATGGGAGTGCAGATGTCACTTCAATACACTGAAGTCCTTTTCTTTGCATTTACACCCACTAGTGGAATTGCTAGATCCTCTGGATGTTCTCTTTTTAGGTTTTGTTTTATGCTTTTTGTTTTTTTGACATAGCGTTTCACTCTTGTTGCCCAAGCTGGAGTGCAATGGCACCACCTGGGCTCACTGCAACCTCTACCTCCAGGATTCAAGTGATTCTCCAGCCTCAGCCTCCCGAGTAGTTGGGATTACTGGTGCCCGCCACCAAGCCTGGCTGATTTTTGTATTTTTAGTAGAGACGGGGTTTCACCATGTTAGCCAGGCTGGTCTCGAACTCTTGACCTCCAGTGATCTGCCCACTTCAGCCTCCCAAGGTGCTGGGATTACAAGCGTGAGCCACAGTGCCTAATCTCTTTTCAGTTTTTAAGGAACTTCCATATTCTTCTCCTCTGTAATGGCTGTATTAATTTACATTCCTATCAACAGTGTATCAGGGTTCTCCTTTCTCCACCACCTTGCCAACATTTGTTTTGTCTGTCTCTGAGATAAAACCCATTGTAATGGGGTGAGATGATAGCTCATTGTGACTTCATTTGCATTTCTCTGATGATTAGTGATACTGAGCACTTTTTCATATATGCAATGTATATATGTTCATTTGTATGTTTTGTTCATTGAGAAATGTCTGTTCAGGTCTTTTACTAATTTTATAATTAAATTATTAGTTTTATTGAGGTGTTTGAGCTTCTTTTATATTCTAGTTATTAATCCCATCTCAGATGCATAGTTTGCAAATATTTGCTCCCATTCTGTGGGTTTTCTCTTCTTCACTTCATTGGTTGCTTCCTTTGCGGTGCAGAAGCTGCTTGATTTGATATAATCCCAATGGTCTATTTTTTTTGTTGTTGTTGTGATTACTTGTGTTTTTGAGGTTTTAAACAAAATGTCTTCCCTCAGACAAATGTCCTGGAGCATTTCTCCAGTGTTTCCTTTTAGACATTTAATGGATTCAGGTCTTAAGTCATTAATCCATTTTCATCTGATTTTTGTGTATGGTGAGAGGTAGAGGTGCAGTTTCATCCCTCTGCATGTAGATATCCAGTTTTCCCTGCACCATTTATTGAAATGACTGTCCTTTCCAGATTGTAGATTCTTCGAACCTTTGTCAAAGTCCATTGGATGTAAATGGGTGGATTACATCCGTGTTCTTCATTCTGCTTCATTGTTTTATGTGCTTTTCTTTATGCCAATGTCATGTTGTTTTGCTTACTACAGCTCTGTAACATATTTTTAAGTCAGGTAGTGTGATGCTCCTGTTTTCTCCTTATACCTTGAAGTCTCAAGATAGTTGGTGTCACCTACAATGATTATGGAGAATGGGATGCCAGGACTCCCAGGGCCCAACATTAGATAATAGAAGGTTGGCCATGAACCAACCTCAAAGATTTCCATTGAGTAGAAAAGACAGGCATCCTCATTGCCACACCTCTCTCCTGTCCCATGTTCTAGGAAACCCTTCTAGTAGTTGGCCTTCACCCACTGAACCAAGCTTCAAAACTGGTAAGTGAAGGACCCCTCTTATCTCTGCTTTTGGAAACCTGGGGAGGTAGAAGCCTTGGATTCAAGCGTTGGCTCAGCACCTGCCAGCTCTGTGATTGTGGGCCTGTCTTCCATTGTCTCTGAACCCCAGACACTCCAACAGCGAAAGGGATCTGGGCCCAGCACAGGGCTCAGTGAAATCTCTTAATCTCTAATTTTCTGCTGCTGAGACCTCAGGGTAGAAGGATGAGTGCAAATCAGACATTCTTCTCAGGAAAAATGCTGTGTTTGTTCTGCCTGCATTCCTAACTGGGAGGACAAATGCCTGGGGGCTTGAGAAGGGGAAGGAAGGGGAACATTTTTGAGGGTGGTGTGTTTGTAGAGAAGTTCTACTTGCCAAGGAATGAGCTCCTGTCTGTCATGATCCAACCCTGGTTGACTTAGTGGAACAAGAGCTTTGCGGTAAGAGAGAACGTAGTTCATCCGTGCACATGACACTTCCACTTACTCGTTCAGCCACTGCCCCATGCTCAGACTGTGCAGTGTGGAACTTTTTCCTATGTTGCCATAACAAATTTCCACAAGCTTCGTGGATGGAAACCACATTTTTAAAAAATATCTCATGGTGCTGTAGCTCAGAAGTATGAAATGCATCATCTCACTGGGCTAAAATCAAGGTGACAGCAAGGCTGCCTTCCCTCTGAATGTTCCAGGCAAGAATCTGCTTCCTCACTTTTCCCAGCTCCTAGAGGCTCCCACATTCCTTGGCTCCTGGTCCCCGTCTTCCTCCCTCAAAGTCCACAAAGGCTGGTCACGCCTCTCACACGGCATCACTCAGACCCTTCTTCCTTGTCCACACCTCTTTCTCTGAATGCTGCTCTGCCTTCTTCCTCATCTTTTAAGGACTTTGGCATTCTATTGGAAACACCAAGATAATCCATCATAATTTCCCTAAAATCATCTAGGATACCCTCCTTTTAAGGTTAGCTGATTAGCAACCGTAATTCCATCTGCAATCTGCATTCCTTTTTTCCATGTAAAATAACATATTCACAAGATATGGCGACTAGGACAGGAACATTTTGGGGTGGGGCGGCATTCTTATCCTTTCCACAAATGGTAAACAAGGTGCATTTGGCCTCTGCTCTTGGACACTGATATTGCAAAGGATTAAATGGGAGGGCAGAAAATGAATACACCAGTGGACCAATAAATGAATGATCCATTGGGAAGCATCTGTGCATGAGAATGATTGATTGATTGGTTGTTTTTATGAGACGGTGTCTCCCTCTGTGCCCCAGGCTGGAGTGCAGTGGCGGGATCTCGGCTCACCGCAACCTCCACCTCCCAGGTTAAAGCGATTCTCTACACTCAGCTTCCCGAGAGGCTGGGATTACACCCATGTCCCACCACGCCTGGCTAATTTTTTTTTGGTATTTTTTTTTAGTACAGACAAGGTTTTACCATGTTGCCCAGGCTATCTCAAACTCCCAACCTTAAGGGATCCGCCCGTCTCAGCCTCCCAAAGTGCTGAGATTAGAGGCGTGAGCCAAGGCGCCGAGCCGTATTTTAAAAGAAATAATAGATAATGCTGAGTGTATAATTTCGGGTGACAGAGAAGTTCTCACTGATCAAATAATACTTGTGACCTTAATGAAAAAAATAGATCAACCCCTGGAAGATTGGCGGAAGGATTTTCCACACAGCTGTCAGCCGTGAAGGCACAAAGGTGAAAACAATGTTATGTGGAAGGAAGAGGCTCTGCCTGAAATGCTGGGAATGACATGGGGAGAATGACAAGACGACTGTGGAGAGACAGAGAGCACTCTGGGTACACAGGAAACTAAGGAGGAACAAGGAGCGTGTGTTTGATACTCACAGCCATTGGACTTACCTCGGGGCTAACTGGGAATCCCTACATGATGAATAGTGACTGACATGAAAATAAGGGAGGCCCAGGTGCATAACTGGAATCTAGGAGACTGTGGAAAAGGCAATTCCCGCCCCCCTGGTGAAATGTGGTGCTGATTTAGACACTAAATGAATGAAAGATGGACACAAGATGTGTTTGTGAGGTAGAGTAATTTGCAGGGAGGGCTTGCCTGGTTTGATTTTTCCTAATTGTTTAATCTTCACTTCATTGATTTCTTTCTGAGATTTATTTTTCCTACATGTAAATCAATACTTGGCAGAGGAGTGAGAGATACATGAGGGGTGGTGCAAAGGAAGAGACCTATTATAATATAACACACAAGGTTCTGAACGGTGGCTCACACCTGTAACCCAACATTTTGGGAGGCTGAGGAGGCTGGATCAAGTGAGATCAGGAGTTCGAGATCAGCCTGGACAACATGGTGAAACCCCATCTCTACAAAATATACAAAAACTAGCTGGGGGTGGTGGCGCGTGCCTGTAATACCAGCTATTCAGGAAGTTGAAGAAGGAGAATGGCTTCAACCAGGGAGGGAGAGGTTACAGTGAGCCAAGATCGCGTCAT
Organism: Homo sapiens; assembly: GCF_000001405.40. Lineage (NCBI taxonomy): Eukaryota > Metazoa > Chordata > Mammalia > Primates > Hominidae > Homo > Homo sapiens. Next base: position 715,723 of record NW_003571060.1, read on the forward strand.
TGCACTGCACCCTAGGTGACAGAGTGAGACTCCATGGCAAAAAATAAAAATAAAGAATACATAAATATAATATAACATACACGAATGACAAAGGCACACCAATTCCAATCATCATTTTTCTATTTCTCTATAATGACTTCTTTGATCCTTTATCCTATCCATAAGAAAATCAGGCGAAAACATCTTCCTTATTTGGCTTTCTGTGAGCATGAGATCATATGGAAAATGTGAAACCCACCAGCACAGGTCCTGGAATAGAGAACGTGATCTGTTCATGGCACAAAACTTGCCCCTTCACCCAAATCCCCCACCTCACCCCTACTTCCAATCACATTAATGATACAGATAGATCATGGGGAGGTAAAAACTAATATTCTTTGGAGTTCAGATCGTAGACTCAGAGACCAGTGCCAGCACTATCTCCTGGTCACCTTTTGGAGTAATTCACAGAAAGACAGGCTGTATTGAAGCAACAGATGATGGAGGGGGTGGTCTTTCCCCCAGACTCTCGGGTGGAACAGCAGCCTAATATCTGACTCCCAAGATGACAAAAGTAGCATGTTGCCCACGAGCTTCATCATTATTTCCTGGCTGTTTGATATAAGACAGCTCAACCTCACTTATGTTGATTTCAATGTCACTGTTTTTTCCTTTTCTTGGAGAATGTAATTTGTTTGAGTCAAGAGGGTTGTGGATGTAGAAACTGTAAAGCACATTCACTGTGTATCAATCCCAGTCCAGTCTTCCCAGAGAAGACTCTAAACACCTCCCATACTGCACCTGGGCCTGTGCCAATTTCTATCACTCACCATCACTCCAGGGAGACAGAACACACAGGGAATACATTACATAGGCAGGTTCATTACTTATAGATAAGCAGCGAGTGACAACAGAAACCTTCCTTTCAGGGTGAGCCAGTCCCTCAAGGCTCAGAAAAACTGCTCAGGACACATGGAGTCACTTCATGTGCACTGTAGCTGGGGGAAGCCAGAAAGCAGCCCAGCCTGGGTTTTGTACCCTGGAGCCACAGGGAACACTCAGCTAAAGCACTGCATGATGTTCTCCTCCAGGAAGAACAGGAAGACAGCCCAGGCTGTTCTGAGACGTTCCTCCTGATCTCAGGATGTTGCTGTCTTAGCCTATTTTTGTTGCTATAAAAGAACACTTGAGCCTGGGTATCTTCTAAAGAAAAGAGATGTGTTTGGCTCACTGATCGGCACGCTGTACTAGAAGCAGGACACTACCATCTATTTCTGGCTGCGGCCTCAGGCTGCTCCCACACTGACAGAAGAGAAGGGGGTCCTGCGTGTGCAGAGACCACAGAGATCACATGGCAAGAGAGGGAGAAAGGGGGTGTGATGGAGCTTCCAAGCTCTTTTTAAGAATCAACTCTCCAGGGTACTAATAGAGGGAGAACTTGCTAAACCCGTCCTCTGGGGACAGCATTAATCTATTCATGATGGATCCACCCCCATGACCAAAACACCCCTCCCAATAGGCACAACCTCCCACACTGGGGATTAAATTTCAAAGTGGGGTTTGGAGGGGTCAAACATTGAAACAATAGCAGTTGTATCATCAGCACATTCTATTGTTATTATGAAAACTATAACGGAGAAAGCAGGAGAAAGCTGGGTCTCCCGCCTCGTGGGTGCTTGTCCTAAAGAGGTGTTTTATGTGGTTGCCTGGCAACCAAGAAATGAGAGACAATCCACAAAGAGGAACTGCTATGGTTAGCTTCTTATTGGATTCTCATCTTCCTCCAGGTATCGCCAGACACCTGCATGCTGTGATTAGGTACTCAGTGGCCATCATCCTCTTCACCATCCTTCCCTTCTTTCTCCTTCATCGCTGGTGCTCCAAAAAAAAAAGTAAGCCTCACGAAGCAGAGGCCAGAGAACTCAGGGCCCTGTGCGGAAGCAGGATGGGAGCACGCAGGTGTGTGTTCCTCACTGGCAGGAAAGTCTCTGGCCCAAGGCAGGAGCCAGAGGCAGAGCTTTCTAGAGAGAGCACCAGACACCCTGCCCCTGCCTTCAGCTCACAGACCATTGCCTGATTGTGAACTGTATCCTCACGTCCCCTGCAGCCACTCACATCCAGGAGAAGATTCCATGACAGGCAGAAAGTGGGAGATAGAATCAATGGGATGGGAACTGACAGCTATTCATGGAATGGGGTCTTGCACTCAGAGAGATGGAATGTCTGAGTCTGGCTGTTGGCAGCTGAGGGACCTCAGGCACCTATGGCCTCCCCCTGTGTGTTGGTATCTGTTCATGAAATGAGGACCCAGAAGTGCCCTCCCAGCTGTTTTGATTGCTTCCGTCTCCTACAGATGCTGCTGTAATGAACCAAGAGCCTGCGGGACACAGAACAGTGAACAGGGAGGTAGGTCCTCCTAGCCCAGCCTCATGGATACAGTCTTATTCCCTAATAGTCCTGAAAAATGTGAACACCCTCCCTCACTCAGGATTTCCCTCTCTCCAGGACTCTGATGAACAAGACCCTCAGGAGGTGACATACGCACAGTTGGATCACTGCATTTTCACACAGAGAAAAATCACTGGCCCTTCTCAGAGGAGCAAGAGACCCTCAACAGATACCAGCGTGTGTATAGAACTTCCAAATGCTGAGCCCAGAGCGTTATCTCCTGCCCATGAGCACCACAGTCAGGCCTTGATGGGATCTTCTAGGGAGACAACAGCCCTGTCTCAAACCCAGCTTGCCAGCTCTAATGTACCAGCAGCTGGAATCTGAAGGCGTGAGTCTCCATCTTAGAGCATCACTCTTCCTCACACCACAAATCTGGTGCCTGTCTCTTGCTTACCAATGTCTAAGGTCCCCACTGCCTGCTGCAGAGAAAACACACTCCTTTGCTTAGCCCACAATTCTCTATTTCACTTGACCCCTGCCCACCTCTCCAACCTAACTGGCTTACTTCCTAGTCTACTTGAGGCTGCAATCACACTGAGGAACTCACAATTCCAAACATACAAGAGGCTCTCTATTAACACGGCACTTAGACACGTGCTGTTCCACCTTCCCTCGTGCTGTTCCACCTTTCCTCAGACTATTTTTCAGCCTTCTGGCATCAGCAAACCTTATAAAATTTTTTTGATTTCAGTGTAGTTCTCTCCTCTTCAAATAAACATGTCTGCCTTCATTCTTTAGGTGACTCTTTTTTTGGCTGAAAGTTTCCAGTGTTATCATTACCATGTCCAAATAACTCCAACTGTTCTCCACTGGGTTCTCACCCCTGGACTCTGAGCTTCTGGAAGCAGGGTGGAGCCTGATTTGTCTCTGAGACTCCAATTTCCATCCAAAGATGCAGCACATAAGAGGTTCCAAGGATCGTGAATCACATGAACAAGTGATATTCTTACTCTCTGCAGACCTGGAAAGCTGGCAGAGTCATTCCATGATGAAACATTTGTAGAGTCATAGGCCTTGTCAGTCTCATCTCCACGGGGACACATATCAACACATCATCTTTCATACTATAAATATACAGTCGGTCCTCTGTATCTGTGGGATTTACAGGTGTTTATTGAACCAAATATAAATCAAAAATATTCAGAGAAAAAATCCACAAAGTTTCAAAAAGCAAAACTATGTTGAATGGACACAAATGAAGCTGTGTGTAGGCTGTATCAGGAATTATAAATAATCAAGGGATGATTTCATGTACACAGGAGGATGTGCATGGGTTATTTGCAAATGCTGTGCCATTTCATGTAAGAGGCTTGAGCATCTGCAGATTGTGCTATCTGAGTGGAGATCCTGAAACCAATCACCCACGAATAGTGAGGGATGACTGTATATAATTTTTATTTCTCAATTTTAAATATAAAACATAAAAAAATTACAATAACAAGATAAAATAAACAAGTGTTTTATAGTGTGAGAATACTTTTAGATATATTTTTCTCCATGTGTAACCCTTGGGCCCATGTTATTTATTGAGAAGACATTCTATTCCACCTTAAACCACATGGCAGCCTTTGTCAACTATAAAGGGACTGTGTGTACACGGATGTATTTTAGACACTGTTTTCTGCTCAGTGGCTCTCTCTCTGTCCACTCTCTTGAGAATGCTGCATTTTATGCAGCCTTATACAACCCCTAAAATTTGGTAGCTGGAGTCCTCTAGTTATTTATTATAGGCTATTTGCTATGCTTTTTTTATTTTTCTTGAGGCAGAGTCTCGCTCTGTTGCCCAGGCTGGAGTGCAGTGGCACGATCTCGGCTCACTGCAACTTCCGCCTCCCAGGTTCAAGGGATTCCGTGGCTCAGCCTCTTGAATAGCTGGCATTACAAGTGCCTGCTACCAGGCATGGCTAATTTTTGTATTTTTAGCAGAGACATGGTTTCACTATATTGGCCAGGCTGGTCTCAAACTCCTGACCTCGGTTGATCACTCACTTCGGCTTCCAAAGTGCTGGGGAAATTGATTTTCTATAGCATTATGTTACTGGATATTTCTGTAAAATTTAAAATGAGGGAGGCAGAGAGACAGAGAGAGAGCAAACCATGAGTTGGAACTCTGGAATCTTGGGACATGAGACAAATTCTAGATAAATCTACAAAAATCCAGAATTTACATGTTGTGATTTTTGCTGATAAAGTACAATTCTAAGATTGTAAATAATTGCATAATCCTTCCCTGGGAGTTTAAATCATTTGAACTGGTTCTGCTGTAATACTAGAAATACAATCATGAAAAATTCTAATGGTTTATTAGTCACAATTGCTCTGAAAACCTTAATAATACCTATTAGATATTTTGCATATTACACAGGAAGAAGAGTTTGAATCTCAGATAAAAGCAAAAAAAATACATGAAAAGTCTTTCATGTTAGCACAGATTTTAGGCATCTCGTGTTCGGGAGGTTGGATCTAAGACGTGTTTTGAGTTGGTCATAGTGAAGGACGCGAGGTGTCAATTCTAGTGAGAGCAATTTCCAGGAAGCCATGTTCCGCTCTTGAGCGAGCACCCACTGGGCCTCATGCAAGGTAGAAAGAGCCTGCGTACGTCACCCTCCCATGATGTGGTCAACATGTAAACTGCATGGGCAGGGCGCCAAATAACATCCTGTGCGCTGCTGAGCTGAGCTGGGGCGCGGCCGCCTGTCTGCACCGGCAGCACCATGTTGCTCATGGTCGTCAGCATGGCGTGTGTTGGTGAGTCCTGGAAGGGAATCGAGGGAGGGAGTGCGGGGATGGAGATCTGGACCTGGAGGTAAAGATATGGGCCTAGAGGTGGAGTTATGGGCCTGGAGGTGGAGTTATGGGCCTGAAGTGGAGATCTGGGCCTGGAGTGGAGATCTGGGCCTGGAGTGGAGATAGGGGCCTGGGGTGGAGATATGTGCCTGGAGTGGAGATCTGGGCCTGGAGTGGAGATATGGGCCTGGGGTGGAGATATGTGCCTGGGGTGGAGATATGGGCCTGGAGGGGAGATATGGATGGGCCTGGAGGGGAGATGTGGGCCTAGAGGTGGAGTGATGGGCCTAGAAGTGGAGCGATGGGCCTGGAGTGGAGATATGGGCCTGGAGGTGGAGTTATGGGCCTGCAGTAGAGATATGGGCCTGAAGTGGAGATATGGGCCTGGAGTGGAGATATGGGCCTAGAGGTGGAGTTATGGGCCCGGAGGTGGAGTTAAGGGCATGAAGTGGAGATCTGGGCCTGGAGTGGAGATATGATCCTGGAGTGGAGATATGGGCCTGGGGTGGAGATACGGGCCTGGAGCAGACATACAAGCCTGGAAAGGAGATATGGGCCTGGAGAGGAGATAGAAGCCTGGAGTGGAAATATGGGCCTGGAGTGGAGATATGAGCCTGGAGTGGATATATGAGCCTGGAGTTGAGATAGGAGCCTGGAGTGGAGATATGGGCCTGGAGTGGACTTATCAGCCTGGAGAGGAGATATGGGTCTGGAGTGGAGATACGGACCTGGAGTGGAGATCTGGGCCTGTTGTGTAGATCTAGGCCTGGAGGTAGAGATCTGGGCCTGGAGGCTGAGTCTCTGCACAGCCGAGATCCTTGTTCCTGGGGGCAGGTAGGCAGCGAGGGTGAGTTTACCTTCAGCCCAGCAAGGGCCTGGCTGCCAAGACGCACAGCCCAGTGGGGGCAGCAGGGTGCCCTGGTTTGCCTGCAGATGGATGGTCCATCATGATCTTTCTTTCTAGGGTTCTTCTTGGTCCAGAGGGCCGGTCCACACGTGGGTGAGTCCTTCCCCAAACCTTAGGGTGTCATCTCCCCACATAAGAGGATTTTCCTGAAATGGGAGGGAAGTCCTGTCGGGGAGTCTCTCATAAACTAGGAAGAGGGGACCCTCGGATGCTCGGCCCACATTTCTGACCTTGCCCTCCCCGGCCTTTCTTTCCCTTTCCTGAGTCAAGCTCTGTGAAGACTGGGGTGAGACTAGGGTGCTCCAAGATGGGTGTGCAGGGAGGAAGTGGTGTCAGCAGCAGAGAAAGAGAGGGAAGCAGTGCTAGGAACAGCAGGTCCTCTGAGGACAAAGGTGTAACTCACACCCTCCAGCGTTTCCGTGATGGTAGGGGCTGCAGTGTGGCTGTGGTCTTTCTACCAGAAAAGGTGAGGAAACCACAGCCATGGCCCTGACATTCCAAATCCTCTGATGGGGGCTCAGTTCATCAATTGGCTGATATTCCATTCACATAGGACTTGCCCTCCATGCCGTGTCTACTTTGTGTTGTTTTATATGAGTAATTTTGCAGTATTAAAATCTAGTAAGAGTTGCTTCTCCAGCACTTGCTCAAAGTTCTCAGCTGACACTTGTTGTAGGGAGACGCCATGTCTATGCAGGATGGGTCCTTCCTGTAGCCCTGGGCACCCAGGTGTGGTAGGAGCCTTAGAAAGTGGAAATGGGGAGAATCTTCTGGGCACTGGGAGTGAGGGGCGGCTCCACATCCTCCTCTCTAAGGCAGTGCCTCCTTCTCCCCCAGGTGGTCAGGACAAGCCCTTCCTGTCTGCCTGGCCCAGCGCTGTGGTGCCTCGAGGAGGACACGTGACTCTTCGGTGTCACTATCGTCATAGGTTTAACAATTTCATGCTATACAAAGAAGACAGAATCCACGTTCCCATCTTCCATGGCAGATTATTCCAGGAGAGCTTCAACATGAGCCCTGTGACCACAGCACATGCAGGGAACTACACATGTCGGGGTTCACACCCACACTCCCCCACTGGGTGGTCGGCACCCAGCAACCCCGTGGTGATCATGGTCACAGGTCAGAGGCTTTCCGTCTGGGCTTCTCACTGTCCCACCTCCTGAATCCCAGAGCTTCTGGTGGGGGTGTCCGTCAGGGTCCCATCACCCAGGCCCTGACTGTATTTGGGGTCAAGGGAGATTGAATACAGGGGAAATGGGTGCTGTGGTGGGAAGAATCACTGTCCCCAATGATGGCTACATTGTAATCCCTGGAGCCTGTGACTATTTATGTTACAGGGCAGGGGACTGAAGGGGAAGGTGGAGCTCAGGTTGTTGATGAGTTGACCTTGAGATGGGGAGACAGCCTGGACTGTCCCACTGGGCTCAGTGTAATCACAAGGGTCCACATGAGAGGTGGAGGAAGAGGGGAGTGGGGATTAGAGCAGTGTAGTGGGAGGGAGACGCTATCAGCCACTGCGGGCTTTGAAGGTGGAGGAAGACCACTAGTCACAGAATGCAGGTGGCCTCTAAGGGCTGGAGAAGTCAAGAGAACTGATTCGCTGATTCTCCAGAGGGAACGCAGCCCTGTAGACACCTTGATTTCAGCACAGGGAGAACTGGATCCAATTTCTGTCTCCAGAAGTGGAAGGGGTCAGTGTGTTCTCTCCCGCTGCCATGTTTGTGGTAATTTTCTGCAGCAGCAACAGGAAACCAACACAGGAACCCAGGTCAAGGACAAGTTAGGAAACCAAACAAGGATAGCCAGATGTGGTGGTGGGCGCGAGTAATCCAACGACTGGGGAGGCTGAGGCAAGAGAATCACTTGAACTGGGGATTTGTTCAAAAGAGATTGATTCAGGCTGCTAAGAGCCTGGACATGCAGCCTCTCCTCTTCCACCCCCACATAGACAGCAGGAAAGAGATTAGTGGGAAACAGATACAACAGCCCAAGAGATGAGGCTGTCTTCACAGTGGCAAGGGAGTCAGGGGCTACTGGAGACAGAGGGACAGAGAAGAGGGAGGAAGACAGATGGAGGCACCTGCACCAGGGGATATGGGCACAGAAAAGACACGGAGATGCAGAGAGGGAGGAGAGAGACAGACACGGGGAGGGGAACCCTCACTCATTCCAGGTGCCATGGATGGGATGATAAAGAGAGATGCCTTCTAAACTCACAACTTCTCTTTCTAGGAAACCACAGAAAACCTTCCCTCCTGGCCCACCCAGGTCCCCTGGTGAAATCAGGAGAGAGAGTCATCCTGCAATGTTGGTCAGATATCATGTTTGAGCACTTCTTTCTGCACAAAGAGGGGATCTCTAAGGACCCCTCACGCCTCGTTGGACAGATCCATGATGGGGTCTCCAAGGCCAATTTCTCCATCGGTCCCATGATGCTTGCCCTTGCAGGGACCTACAGATGCTACGGTTCTGTTACTCACACCCCCTATCAGTTGTCAGCTCCCAGTGATCCCCTGGACATCGTGGTCACAGGTGAGAGTGTCTAGACATTGTTCTCATTGTCACTGGGACACAGAGTGAATGATCCAGGACTTGGAACCCCCAGGTGGTCATGAGGAAGATAAGTGTGGGATTCTTATGGAAAGAGAGTGACTTGGTGAGGTCTGTACCAACAGAGACAGAGAAACAGGAGACATAAGTACAGAACAGGTGTCATAACAGAGGACAGACACAGGGGCCATACAGGGAGGTAGAAAAGAGAGAAAGAGGTAAAGGAGACACTCAGACAGACAGACATGTCCCAGAGAGAGGTGTCCTTCCATGCTGACTTTGCTCAGAGACCTGGCACAGGTTAGAAGTTTCATTTCTGTTTTACCTCCACAAAGTGTTCCTACCAGAAGAACCCAAGGACACCCATATTTCTGACCTGAGTTGGGCCCTGTGGCCTCAGGCCTTGTGCCACCTACAGATGCCGTGTTTATTCTGACACCTCTGCCTTCCATGCAATGGAGAGTAATCATCCCAGGATATCATGGCCCCTGAACACCAACCCCTGTATGCTGTGTGAACTTGGGGTCCCCAGACTGGATTCTGAGGCTCATATTCCAAATAATCCCACATATGATAGGATCGCTGAGAGACACAGAGAAAAATCAGGGACACCAAAAAACAAAGACATAAACACACACAAAATGAGCCAGAAGAAGGAGATTAAGAGATTCACAGACACATAAAAAGAAAGAAAAGAGGGCAGAATGGAGAGAATGATGGAAAGGAGGAGAGAAAAGCCCCAAAATCAGAACCCTGAGGGAGGGACACAAAGACAGAGAAAGATAAATATGTGGGGATGGATTGCAGAGATTCCAAATAGAACTAGAGAGACTGAGAGGCAGAGAAAGACAAGGAGACGGAGAGAGAGAGATGATAGATGGATAGATAGACGTAGATAGATGATAAATAGGTAGATGATAGATAATGGATTGGTTATAGATACATAGATGATGACTGATAGATGATACATAGAGATGACGATGATGATGATAGACACATAGATATATACATAGATGATACATAAATAGAGACAGAGAGGCAGACAGAGAGGTAATAGAGAGAGAGATAGATGATACATATATAGATAATAGATGATTGATGGATAGATAGACAGATAGACAATTGATAGAGAGATAGATAAGTGATACATAAATATAGATGATAGATAATTTGTAGATAGACACAAAATAGATAAATAGATAGAAATGTGCAGAAAGTTATGAACAAGACAGAAAGTGAGAGACTCAAAATTAAAGAAAAAGGAAGATCAAGTCAACCAATCCAAGGAGGGTCAGAGAGAATAAAACAATCCAAAAAGGGAAAACATACCTCAGGGTGGGGAAGTGAGGTCATAGACCTAGAGAGACAGAAAAGGTAGAAGGAGGAAACAGATATGAAGAGAGATGGGGTGGAGGGTGAGAGAGAGAGAGAGAGCATTAGGTCATAGAGCAGGGGAGTGAGTTCTCAGCTCAGGTATGAGGGGAGCTATGACAAGGAAGAACCTCCCTGAGGAAACTGCCTCTTCTCCTTCCAGGTCCATATGAGAAACCTTCTCTCTCAGCCCAGCCGGGCCCCAAGGTTCAGGCAGGAGAGAGCGTGACCTTGTCCTGCAGCTCCCGGAGCTCCTATGACATGTACCATCTATCCAGGGAGCGGGGAGCCCATGAACGTAGGCTCCCTGCAGTGCGCAAGGTCAACAGAACATTCCAGGCAGATTTCCCTCTGGGCCCTGCCACCCACGGAGGGACCTACAGATGCTTCGGCTCTTTCCGTCACTCTCCCTACGAGTGGTCAGACCCGAGTGACCCACTGCTTGTTTCTGTCACAGGTGAGAAAAGCCCATATCTCTCTCATGTCCTATGATCCTAAATCCTTAGCTAAGGAGCTTCCTGCTGATGATGGAGAAAAGCATGGACAGATGCAGAGAGAAGACACAGCAGGTGTGAGGGCGGAGTCAGGGCGCAGGATGGCAGACAGGGCACCTCCAAACCCTCCTTCATGGCCTGCATGGAGGCCTCCGATCAGGGCTCCAGGCACCCAGGCAGATGGAGAAAGCGGTCAGGACAGACCCAGAGAAGGGGAGACTGGGCTTAGTTTGGGGAGATCAGAGGTTCCCTCAGCCCCTCAATCTTATCCATTTCCCAGAAGCCCATCATGGCCTCTCACCCACACAGAGAGATATCATCACCAGCAACCCCTACACCCTTTTCTTTTCATTTTCAAAAATATTTATTGAGGTTAAATGTAACTATATAATTTACCACCTTTACCATTTTTAAAAGTAAAATCTAGTGGTCATAAATACCTTTATATGCTGGGTGTGGTGGTTCACGGTTGTAATCTCGGCGCTTTGAGAGGCCAAGGAAGGTGGATCATTTAAGATCAGGAACTCGAGATCACCCTGGCCAACATGTGGGAAATTCATCTTTACTAAACAGACAAGAAAAATTAGCCGAGCATGCTGGCATGCACCTGTAGTCCTAGCTACTTGGGAGGCTGAGGCAGGAGAAGCACTTAAAGCCAGGAGGCAGAGGTTGCACTGAGCCGAGATCATGCCACTGCACTGCAGCCTGGGAGACAGAGAGAGACTCTGTTTCTAAATAAATAAATACATCTATATTCTTTTTTTTGTTACCCTCCACCCTTCCCTTCCTGGCCTCTGGTGTCCACCATTGTATTCTCCACCTTCATGAGATCCACCTTTTATCTCCTGCATGTGGGTGAGAAATGGGAATCTTTGTAATGACCTCCAGTTCCATCCATGTGGCTGCAAATGACAGGATGTTATTGTTTCTATGGATGAGTAGTCTCCACTGTGTGTGTGTACCACAGTTCTCTATCCATTCACCCACTGATGGGCAGGTAGGTTGACTCCACATCTTGGCTACTGTGAACAGTGCTGGAACAGTCATATGAGTGCAGATATCACTTCGATACACTGATGTCCTTTCCTTTGGATATAAACCCAGTAGTGAAATTGCTGGACACTATGAAAGTTCTCTTTTTTTTTTTTTCTTTTTTGAGAAAGAGTTTCCCTCCTTAGTCCAAGCTGGAGTCTAAGTGGTGAGATCTTGGCTCATTGCAACCTGTGCCTCCTAGGTTCAAATGATTGTCCTGACTCAGCCTCCCTAGTAGCTGTGATTACAGGTGCACGCCACCATGCCTGGCTAATTCTTGTATTTTTTTAGCACAGACGGGATATCCCAATTTTGGGCAGGCTGCTCTCAAACTCCTGACCTCAAGTGAGGTGCCTGCCTCGGTTTCCCAAAGTGCTGAAGTTACAGGCATAAGCCACTATGCCCAGCCTCCTTTTAGTTTTTTAAAGAATTTCCATACTTTTCTCCATAATAGTTGTACTAATTTACATTCCTACCAACAGGGTACCAGGGTTCTCCTTTCTCTACCATCTTGCCAGCATTTGTTTTGCCTGTCTTGCAGTAAAAGCCATTTTACTTTACTTTATTTTATTTATTTATTTATGTTGAGATGGAGTTTCACTCATAGTCTCCCAGGCTGGAGTGCAAGGGTGTGATCTCAGCTCACTGCAACCTCCGCCTCCCGCGTTCAACTGATTCTCCTGCCTCAGCCTCCAAAGTAGCTGGGATTACAGGCATGTGCCACCACGCCTAGCTAATTTTTGTATGTTTAGTAGAGAGGGAGTTTCTCCATGATGGTCAGGCTGGTCTCCCGACCTCAGGTGATCCGCCCACCTCCGCCTCCTGAAGTGCCGGAATTACAGGCGTGAGCCACCGGCCTAAAAGGCATTTTAATGGGATGAGATGAAAACTCATCGCGATTGTAATTTACATTTCTCTGATGATGAGTGATGCCGAGTACTTTTTCATATACGTGATCGCCATTTCTATGTTTTGTTTGTGGAGAAATGTCTCCTCATGTCTTTTGCTCGTTTTTTAATTAAATTGTTTTATTGAGTTGTTTGAGCTTCTTATATTTCCAGTTATTAATCCCGTCTCAGATGAATAGTTTGCAAATATTTGCTCCTATTTTGTCGGTTGTCTCTTCACTTTCTTGGTTTATCTTTTGTGGTGCAGAAGTTGCTTGGTTTGATGTAATCCTAATGGTCTATTTTTTGCTTTGATTACTTGTGTTTTGAAGGTTTTAAACAAAATGTCTTTCGTCAGACAAATGTCTTCCCCATTATTTTCTTCTACATGTTTCATAGGTTCAGGCCTTAGACTCATGTTTTTAATCCATTTTCATTTGATTTTTGTGTATGGTGACAGGTATAGATGCAGTTTTATTCCTCTGCATATAGATATCCAGTTTTCCCCACACCATTTATTGAAAAGACTGTCCTTTCCTGATTGTAAGTTCTCGGCACCTTTGTCAAAGTCCATTAAATGGGCTGGGTATGGTGGCTCACACCTGCAATTCCAGCACTTTGGGAGGCCGAGGCGGGTGGATCACCTGAAGCCAGGAGTTCAAGATCAGGCTGGCCAACAGAGTGAAACCTCGTCTCTACTAAAAATACAAAAATTAGCTGAGCATGGTGACCAGTGCCTGTAATACCACTACTCGGGTGTTTGAGGCAAGAGAATTGCTTGAATCCAGGAAGTGGAGGTTGCATTGAGCTGAGATTGCACCTCTGCACTCCAGCCTGCATGACAGAGCAAGATTCTAACACACACACACACAAAAAAAGCCATTGGATGTAAATGCATGGATTATATCTGTGTTCTCCATTCTGTTTCATTTTTTATGTGCCTTTCTTTATGCCAATGTCATGCTGTTTTGCTTACTACAGCTCTGTAACATATTTCTAAGTCAGGTAGTGTGATGCTCCTGTTTTCTCTTTATACCTTCAAGTCTCAAGACAGTGGGCATCGCACACAAAAATTATGGAGAAGAGGATCCCAAGACTCCCAGGGTCCAACATTAGATAACAGAGTGTTGGCCATGAACCAACCTCAAAGATTTCCATTGAGTAGAGGACAAGCACCCTCATTTCCTCACATCTCTCCTGTCCCATGTTCTAGGAAACCCTTCAAGTAGTTGGCCTTCACCCACAGAACCAAGCTCCAAATCTGGTGAGTAAAGGACCCCTCTTATCTCTGCTTTTGGAAACCTGGGGAGGTGGAAGCCTTGGATGCAAGTGTTGGCTCAAACCTCCCAGCTCTGTGAATGAGGGCCTGTCTTCCACCATCTCTGAACTCCAGACACTCCAACAGTGAAAGGGATCTAGGGCCACCAAAGGACTCAGCGAAGTCTCTTAACCTTTAATGTCCTGCAGGTGAGACCTCCTACAAGCTAGAAGAATGATTGCCAATCTGACATCCTTCTCAGGAAACATGCAGTGTTTTTTCTTCCTGCATTCCTAACTGGAGGATAAATTCCTGGGGACTTGAGAGAGGGAAGGGAAGGGAACATCTGATGAGGGCGAGGTGTTTTAGAGAAGTTCCACTTGCCAAGGAATGAATTACTGTTGGTCATGAAGCAACCCTGGCTGACTCAGCAGAGCAAGAGCCTTGCCGTAACAGAGAACAGAGCTCATGCACGCACACTTCGACTCACTGACTCATTCAGCCACGGCCCCATGCTCAGGCTGTGCAGTTGGAATCCTTTCCTATTGTTGCCATAACAAATTTCCACAAGATTCGTGGGTGAAAACAAAACGGTTTTTTAATTATCTTACAGTGCTGTAGCTCAAAGTAGGAAGTGCATCTTACTGGGCTAAAATCAAGGTGACAGCAAGGCTGCCTTCCCTCTGAGGATTCCAGGCAAGAATCTGCTTCTCACTTGTCCCAGCTTCTAAAGGCTCCCAGTTCCTTGGCTCCTGGTCCCCTTCCTCCTTCCTCAAAGCCCACAAAGACTGGTCACATCTCACATGGCATCACTCAGACCCTTCTTCCTTACCACACCTCTTTCTCTGAATGCTGCTCTCCCTTCTTCCTTATCTTTTGAAAACTTGGGGATTCTATTGGGTTCACCAAGATGAAAATCCATCATAATCTCCCGGAAATCATTCAGGATACCCTTGTTTTCAGTTCAGCTGACTAGCAACCGTAATTCCATCTGCAATCTTCATTCCTTCTTTCCATGTAAAATAAGATATTCACAAGCTATGGAGGCTAGGACAGGGACATTTTGGGGTGGGACAGCATTCTCCTGCCTTCCACGAACGGTGAACAAGATGCATTTGGCCTCTGCTCTTGGGACACTGATATTGCAGATGGTTAAATGGGAGGACAGAAAATGAATGCACAAGTGGACCAATAAATGAATGATCCATTGGGAAGCATCTGTGCATGAAATCTATTTGTTTGTTCGTTCATTTATTTATTGAGACAGAGTCTCCCTCTGTCTTCCAGGCTACAGTGCAGTGTCACGATCTTGGCTCACTGCAACCTGCGTCTCCTGGATCCAAGTGATTCTCCTGCCTCACCCTCTCGAGTAGCTGGGATTACAGGCAACTGCCACCATGCCCGGCTAATTCTTTTTGTATATTTTTTGTAGAGAGGATGTTTCACCATGTTGGCCAAGCTTGTCTGAAACTCCCAACCTCAAGTGATCCGACCATCTCAGCAACCCAAAGTACTGGGATTACAGGCGTGAGCCACTTTGCCCAGCCAGAATTCAAAATAAATAATAGATAATGCTGAGTGTATAATTTTGGGTGACAGAGAAGGTCTCACTAATCAGATATTTGTGACATTAATGAAAAACACGGATTGAACCCCTGAAAGATTGGCGGAAGGATTTTCCACACACAGCTGTCAGCCGTGAAGGCAGAAAGCTGAAAACAATCTGATGTGGAAGGAAGAGGCTCTGCCTGAAATGCTGGGAATGAGGTGGGGAGAATGACAAGACGACTGTGGAGAGACGGAGAGCACACTGGGTACACAGGAAACTAAGGAGCAACAAGGAGTGTGTGTTTGACACTCACAGCCATTGGATTCACCTCGGGGTAGCCAGGAATCCCTACATGATTAATAGTGACTGACATGAAAATAAGGGAGGCCCAGGTGCGTAACTGGAATCTAGGAGACAGTGGAAAAGGCAATTGCCGCCCCACTGGTGAAATGTGGTGCTGATTTAGACCCTAAGTGGATGAAGCAGATGGATATAAGCTATGTTTGGGAGGTAGAATCATTTGCAGGGAGGGCTTGCTGGGTTTGAGTTTCCTAGTTGTTTAATCCTTGCTAAATTAATTTCTTTCTGAGATTTATTCCTCCTACACATAAATCAATACCTGCCAAAGGAGTGACAGATATATGAGGGGTGGTGGAAATGAAGGGACCTATTATAGCATAGTATACAAGTCTGTGAACGGTGGCTCACTCCTGTAACCCAGCACTGCAGGAGGCTAAGGCCAGTGGATTCCAAGAAGTCAGGAGTTCGAGACCAGCCTGGCCAACATGGAGAAACCCTATCTCTACATGGTGAAACCCTATCTCTCCTAAAAATACAAAAATTAGCCGAGCATGGTGGTGCATCCCTGTAATCCCAGCTCCTGCTCTGGAGGATGAAGCAGGAGAATGACTTCAACCCAGGAGGTGGAGGTTGCAGTGAGTGGAGATCGCATCACTGCACTCCAGCCTGGGTGACACAAGGAGACTCCATCTCAAAAAATAAAAATAAGAAATGCATAAATATAATAAAACACACACGAATGACAAAGGCACCTGAATTCCCATCATCATTTTTCTATTTCTCTATAATTACTTCTTTGATCCTTTATCTTATCCATTAGGCAATCAGCCTAAAACCTCTTCCGTATTTGGCTTTCTGTGAGCATGAGATCATATAGAAAATGTGAAAGCCCGCTGAATCCTCCAGCACAAATCCTGGAATAGAGAAAGTGCTCTGGTCATCACAAAAAAAACTTGCCCCCTCACCCAAATCCCCCATCTCACCCCTACTTCCAATCACCTGTGGAGATACAGATAGATCATGGGGAGGTAAATGCTAATACTCCTTGGAGTGAGTCCAGATCTTGGAATCAGAGATCAGTGCCAGCACTAGCTCCTGCTCCCCTTTCCTACTAATTCACAGGAGGACAGGTGGTATTGAAGCAATAGATAGTCGAGGGGGTGGTCCTTCCCCCAGCCTCTGAGGTAGAACAGCAGCCTAACATGTGTCTCCCGAGATCACAAAGAGTAGCACATTTCACACGGGCTTCAACACTATTTTCTGGCTGTTTGACATAAGAGAATTCTACTTCGCTTTTTTTATATTGATTTCACTTTTGTTTCCTTTTCTTGGAGAATGCAAGTTGTTTAACTCAAGAATGCCGTGGATGTAGAAATCCTAAAGCACATTCGCTGTGTATCAATCCCAGTCCAGTCTTCCCAGAGAAGACTCTAAACACCTCCTGGACTGCACCTGGGCCTATGCCAATTCCTATCACTCACCGTCACTCCAGGGAGACAGAACACACAGAGAATACGTTACATAGGCAGGTTCATTACTAACAGATAAGCAGCGAGTGACAACAGAAGCCTACATTTCAATGTGAGCCAGTTCCCCAAGGCTCAGAAAAGCTGCTCGAGACATGTGGAGTCACCCCATTTGCAGTGTAGCTGGGGGAAGCCAGAAAGCAGCCCAGCCTGGGTTTTGTACCCTGGAGCCACAGGAAGCACTCAGCTAAAGCACTGCATGACGTCCTCCTCCAGGAAGAACAGGAAGACAGCCCAGGCTGTTCTGGGACGATCCTCCTGATCTCAGGACTTTGCTGTCTTAGTCCATTTTTGTTGCTCTAAAGGAACACTTGAGCCTGGGTAACTTCTAAAGAAGAGATTGGTTTGCCTCACCATTCTGCAGGCTGTACTGGAAGCATGGCACCAGCATCTATTTCTTATGATGGCCTCAGGCCGCTCCCACTCTGGCAGAAGGGAAGGAGGGTCTGTCTGTGCAGAGACCACAGAGATCACACGGCAAGAGAGGGAGCAAGGGGGAGGGGGAGCAATGGAGCTTCCAAGCTCTTTTTAACAACCAGCTCTCCAGGAACTAATAGAGAGGGAACTTGCTAACCCCGTCTCCTTGGGACAGCATTGATCTGTTCATGATGGATCCACCTCCATGACCCAAACACCTCCCAAGAGGCCCAACCTCCCACACTGGGGGTTAAATTTCAATGTGAGGTTTGAAGGGGTCAAACATCTCAACTAAAGTAGTTGTATCCTCAGCACGTTCCATGGTTACTATGAGAGCTATAACTGAGAAAGCAGGAGGAAGCTAGGTCTCCCGCCATCTGGGTGCTTGTCCGAAAGAGATGCTGTAAGTGGTTACCTGTCAATCAAGAAATGCAAGACAATTCATATAGAGAAACTGCTATGATTAGCTTCTTACTGGTGTCTCCTCTTCTTCCAGGTAACCCCAGACACCTGCACATTCTGATTGGGACCTCAGTGGTCATCATCCTCTTCATCCTCCTCCTCTTCTTTCTCCTTCATCTCTGGTGCTCCAACAAAAAAAGTAAGTCTCACGGGGCACAGGCCAGAGAGCTCAGGGCCATGTGGGGAAGCAGGATGGGAGCACACAGCTGTGTGTTCCTCACTGGCAGGATGGTCCCTGGCCCAAGACAGGAGCCACAGAGGCAGGACTTTCTAGAGAGAGCACCAGACTCCCTGCCCCTGCCTTCAGCTCACAGACCGTTGCCTGATTCTGAACTGTATCCTCATGTCCCCTGCAGCCACTCACATCCAGGAGAAGGTTCCATGAGAGGCAGAAAGTGGGAGACAGAATCAATGGGATGGGAACTCAGAGCTATTCATGGGATGGGTCCTTGAGCTCAGAGAGATAGAATGTCTGAGTCTGCTGTTGGCAACTGAGGGACCTCAGGCACCTATGGCCTCCCCCTGTTTGTTGGTATCTGCTTATGAAATGAGGACCCAGAAGTGCCCTCCGAGCTCTTTTGTTGACTTCCGTCTCCTACAGATGCTGCTGTAATGGACCAAGAGCCTGCAGGGAACAGAACAGCCAACAGCGAGGTAGGTGCTCCTCGGCCCAGCCTCGTGGCTAGTGTTATTCCCAAACAGTCCTGGAAAACGTGAGCACCCTCCCTCACTCAGCATTTCCCTCCCTCACTCAGCATTTCCCTCTCTCCAGGACTCTGATGAACAAGACCCTGAGGAGGTGACATACGCACAGTTGGATCACTGCGTTTTCACACAGAGAAAAATCACTCGCCCTTCTCAGAGGCCCAAGACACCCCCTACAGATACCATCTTGTACACGGAACTTCCAAATGCTAAGCCCAGATCCAAAGTTGTCTCCTGCCCATGAGCACCACAGTCAGGCCTTGAGGACGTCTTCTAGGGAGACAACAGCCCTGTCTCAAAACCGAGTTGCCAGCTCCCATGTACCAGCAGCTGGAATCTGAAGGCGTGAGTCTTCATCTTAGGGCATCGCTCCTCCTCACGCCACAAATCTGGTGCCTCTCTCTTGCTTACAAATGTCTAGGTCCCCACTGCCTGCTGGAAAGAAAACACACTCCTTTGCTTAGCCCACAGTTCTCCATTTCACTTGACCCCTGCCCACCTCTCCAACCTAACTGGCTTACTTCCTAGTCTACTTGAGGCTGCAATCACACTGAGGAACTCACAATTCCAAACATACAAGAGGCTCCCTCTTGACGTGGCACTTACCCACGTGCTGTTCCACCTTCCCTCATGCTGTTTCACCTTTCTTCGGACTATTTTCCAGCCTTCTGTCAGCAGTGAAACTTATAAAATTTTTTGTGATTTCAATGTAGCTGTCTCCTCTTCAAATAAACATGTCTGCCCTCATTGCTTCAGGTAATGTGACACTGTATTCGCTGAAAGAAACCGCTGTTATCATTACCATGTCCACATAACCCCATCTGTTCTCCGCTGGGTTCTCACCCCTGGATTCTGAGCTTCTGGAAGCAGGGTGGAGCCTCATTTGTCTCTGGGACTCCAATTTCCATCCAAAGATGCAGCACATAGGAGGTTCCAAGGATCGTGAATCACATGAACAAGTGATATTCTTACTCTCTGCAACCTGGAAAGCTGGCAGAGTCATTCCACGATGAAACATTTGTAGAGTCATAAGCCTTGCTAGTCTCATCTCCACGGGGACACATATCAACACATCATATTTCATACTATAAATATACAGTCGCTCCTCCATATCTGTGGGGTTTACAGGTGTTTATTGAACCAAGTGTAAATCAAAAATATTCAGAGAAAATGTCCACAAAGTTTCAAAATGCAAAACTATGTTGAATGGACACAAATGAGGCAGTGTGTAGGCTGTATCAGGAATTATAAGTAATCAAGAGATGATTTCATGTATACAGGAGGATGTGCATGGGTTATATCCAAATGCTGTGTCATTTTATGTAAGAGGCTTGAGCATCTGCAGATTTTGGTACCTGAGTGGAGATCCTGAAACCAATCACCCACGAATAGTAAAGGATGACCGTATATGACTTTTATTTCTCAATTTTAAATATAAATCATAAAAAATGTACAATAACTAGATAAAAAGTAAGAAGTGTTTTTATAGTGTGAGAATAAGTTTAGATTTATTTTTTCCTACGTGTAACCCTTTGGTTTAATATTATTTATTAAGAAGACATTCTATGCCACCTTAAACCACACGGCAGCCTTTGTCAACTCTAAAGGGACTGTGTGTACACGGATGTATTTTAGACACTGTTTCTGCTAAGGGGCTCTCTGTGTCCACACTCTTGAGGATGCTGCACTTCATGTAGCCTTATAAAACCCTTTAAATTTAGTAGCCAGAGCCCTCTAATTTGTTATTATAGGCTACTTGCTATTTTTTTTTCTTGAGGCGGAGTCTTGCTCTGTCGCCCAGGCGGGACTGTAGTGGAGCAATCTCAGCTCACTGCAACTTCCGCCTCCCAGGTTCAGGCGATTCTCGTGCCTCAGCCTCTTGAGTAGCTGGCGTTACAGGTGCCTGCCACCAGGCACGGCTAATTTTTGGATTTTTAGCAGAGACACGGTTTCACTATGTTGGCCAGGCTGCTCTCAATCTCCTCATCTCAGTTGATCCGCCCACCTCGGCTTCCCGACCTGCTGGGGGAAACTTGATTTTCTATAGCATTATGTTACTGGATATTTCTGTAAAATTTAAAATGAGGGAGGCAGAGAGACAGAGAGAGAGCAAACTCCAAAGTTGGGACTCTGGAATCTTGAGTCATGAGACAAATTATAGATAAAACTACAAAAATCCAGAATTTACATGTGTGGTTTTTGCTGATAAAGTACAATTCTAAGATTGTAAATAATTGCATAATCCTTCCCTGGGAATTTAAATCATTTGAACTGGTTCTGCTGTAATACTAGAAATACAAGCATGAACAATTCTAATGGTTTATTAGTCACAATGACTCTGAAAACACTAATAATACCTATTAGATATTTTGCATATTACACAGGAAGAAGAGTTCGAATCTCAGATAAAAACAATAAAAATTCATGAAAAGTCTTTCATGTTAGCACAGATTTTAGGCATCTCATGTTTGGGAGGTTGGATCTAAGACATGTTTTGAGTTGGTCATAGTGAAGGACGCGAGGTGTCAATTCTAGTGAGAGCAATTTCCAGGAAGCCATGTTCCGCTCTTGAGCGAGCACCCACTGGGCCTCATGCAAGGTAGAAAAAGCCTGCGTACGTCACCCTCCCATGATGTGGTCAACATGTAAACTGCATGGGCAGGGCGCCAAATAACATCCTGTGTGCTGCTGAGCTGAGCTGGGGCGCGGCCGCCTGTCTGCACCGGCAGCACCATGTCGCTCATGGTCATCATCATGGCGTGTGTTGGTGAGTCCTGGAAGGGAATAGAGGGAGGGAGCGTGGGGATGGAGATCTGGGCCCAGAGGTGGAGATATGGGCCTGGAGGTGGAGTTATGGGCCTGGAGTGGAGATCTGGGCCTAGAGATGGAGTGATGAGCCTAGAAGTGGAGATCTGCGCCTGGAGTGGAGATCTGGGCCTGGAGTGAAGATCTGGGCCTGGAGTGGAGATATGGGCCTGGAGTGGGGATAGGAACCTGGAGTGGAGAGAGGAACCTGGAGGAGAGATAGGAACCTGGAGGGGAGGTAGGAGCCTAGGGTGGAGATATGTGGCTGGAGTGGAGATATGGGACTGGAGTGGAGATATGGGCCTGGAGTGGAGTTATGGGCCTGGAGTGAAGTTATGGGCCTGGAGGTGGAGATACGGGCCTGGAGTGGAGATATGAGCCTGGAGTGGAGATATGGTCCTGGAGTGGAGATATGGGCCTGGAGTGGAGATATGGGTCTGCAGTGGAGTTATGGGCCTGGAGTGAAGTTATGGGCCTGGAGGTGGAGATATGGGACTGGAGTGGAGATATGGGACTAGAGTGGAGATAGGGGCCTGGAGGTGGAGATCTGGGCCTGGAGTGGAGATCTGGGCCTGGAGTGGAGATCTGGGCCTGGAGTGGAGATATGGGCCTGGAGTGGAGATATGGGTCTGCAGTGGAGATATGGGCCTGGAGGTGGAGATATGGGCCTGGAGTGGAGTTATGGGCCTGGAGTGAAGTTATGGGCCTGGAGGTGGAGATATGGGCCTGGAGTGGAGATATGGGACTAGAGTGGAGATAGGGGCCTGGAGGTGGAGATCTGGGCCTGGAGTGGAGATATGGCCCTGGAGTGGAGATATGGGCCTGGAGTGGAGATATGAGCCTGGAGTGGAGATATGGCCCTGGAGTGGAGATATGGGCCTGGAGGTGGAGATATGGGCCTGGAGTGGAGTTATGGGCCTGGAGTGAAGTTATGGGCCTGGAGGTGGAGATATGGGCCTGGAGTGGAGATATGGGACTAGAGTGGAGATACGGGCCTGGAGGTGGAGATCTGGGCCTGGAGTGGAGATATGGCCCTGGAGTGGAGATATGGGCCTGGAGTGGAGATATGAGCCTGGAGTGGAGATATGGCCCTGGAGTGGAGATATGGGCCTGGAGTGGAGATATGAGCCTGGAGTGGAGATATGGCCCTGGAGTGGAGATATGGGCCTGGAGTGGAGATATGGGCCTGGAGTGGACATATGGGTCTGGAGTGGAGATACGGGCCTGGAGGTGGAGATATGGGCCTGGAGTGGAGATATGGGCCTGGAGGTGGTGATATGGGCCTGGAGTGTAGACATGGGCCGAGTGGAGATATGGGTCTGGAGTGGAGATATGGGCCTGGAGTGGAGATATGGGACTGGAGTGGAGATATAGGCATGGGGTGGAGACATGGGCCGGGAGTGGAGATATGGGACTGGAGTGGAGATACGGGCGTGGGGTGGAGATATGTGCCTGGAGGTGGAGATATGGGCGTGGGTTGGAGATATGGGCCTGGAGTGGAGATATGGGCGTGGGGTGGAGATATGGGTCTGGAGTGGAGACATGGGCATGGGGTGGAGATATGGGCCTGGTGTGTAGATATGGGCCTGGAGTGGAGATATGGCCCTGGAGTGGAGATATGGGCCTGGAGTGGAGATCTGGGCCTACGGTGGAGATATGGGCCTAGGATGGGGATATGGGCCTGGAATGGAGATATGGGCCTGGGTGTGGAGATATGGGACTGGAGTGGAGATATGGGCCTGATGTGGAGATATGGGCTTGGAGTGGAGATATGATCCTGGAGTGTAGTTATGGGCCTGGAGGTGGAGATCTGGGCCTGGGGTGGAGATATGGGCCTGGAGTGGAGATATGGGACTGGAGAGGAGATATGGGACTGGAGTGGAGATATGGGCCTGGAGTGGAGATATGGGCCTGGATTGGAGATATGGGCCGAGGGTGGAGATCTGAGCCTGGATTGGAGATGTGGGCCCGGATTGGCTATATGGGTCTAGGGTGGAAATATCGGCCTGGAGTGGAGATATGGGCCTGGAGTGGAGATATGGGCTTGGGGTGGGGATATGGGCCTGGAGGCTGGGTCTCTGTACAGCCGAGAGCACTGTTCTTGGGTGCAGGTAGGCACTGATGGTGAGTTTACCTTCGGCCCAGGAAGGGGCTGGCTATCAAGACTCACAGCCCAGTGGGGGCAGCAAGGAAGGCCTTGTTTGCCTGCAAATGGATCTTCCATCATGATCTTTCTTTCCAGGGTTCTTCTTGCTGCAGGGGGCCTGGCCACAGGAGGGTAAGTCCTTCTCCAAACCTTAGGGTGTCATCTCCCCACATAAGAGGATTTTCCTGAAACGGGAGGGAAGTCCTGTCAGGGAGTCTCTCATAAACTAGGAAGAGGGGACCCTGGGGTGCTCGGCCCACAGTTCCGACCTTGCCTCCCTGGCCTCTCAACCCCTTGGCAGAGTCAAGTTGTGTGGGGACCAGGGTTGGACTAGGGTGTTCAAAGCTGGGTTGTGTGGTGGGGAAGTGGTAGGAACAGCAGATCCTCTGAGGACAAAGGTGTTACTCACACACTTCAGCGTTTCCATGACGGTAGGGGCTGCAGTGTGGCTGCTGTCATTCTACCAGAAGAGGTGGGAAACCACAGCCATGGCCCTGACATTCCAAATCCTCTGATGGGGGCTAAGTTTTTTATTTTCATTCAGGCAACTGCTGATATTCCATTCTCAAAGGACATGCCCTCCACTTCATGTCTACCCTGTGTTGTTTTATGTCAGTAATCTTACAGTATTAAAATCTAGTAGGAGTCTCTTACTCAGCACTTGCTCAAAGTTCTCAGCTGACACTTTTGTTGTACGGAGACACCTTGTCTTTGTGGGATGGGTCCTTCCTTTAGCCCTAGGCACCAAGGTGTGATAGCAGCCATAGAAATGTGGAAAGTGGGGAGAATCTTCTGAGCACAGGGAGGGAGGCACAGCTCCACATCCTCCTCTCTAAGGCGGCGCCTCCTTCACCCCAAGGTGGTCAGGACAAGCCCTTGCTTTCTACCTGGCCCAGCCTTGTGGTGCCTCCAGAACATGTGACTCTTCAGTGTCACTCTAATCTTGGGTTTAACAACTTCAGTCTGTACAAGGATGATGGGGTGCCTGTCCCTGAGCTGTACAACAGAATATTCTGGAAAAGCCTTTTCATGGGCCCTGTGACCCCGTCACATGCAGGGACCTATAGATGCCGGGGTTCACACACACACTCCCCCAGTGGGTGGTCGGCACCCAGCAACCCCCTGGTGATCATGGTCACAGGTCAGAGGGCTCCTGTCTGGGATTCTCCTTGTCCCACCTCCTGAATCCCAGAGCTTCTGGTAGGCATGTCCTTGAGGGTCCCATCACGCAGGCCCTAACTGTATTTGGGGTAAAGGGGGATTGAATACAGGGAAATGGGTGCTGTGGTGGGAAGAATAAGTGTCCCCAGTGATGACTGCATTCTAATCCCTGGAGTCTGTGACTATTTATGTTATAGGGGAAGGGACTGAAGGGGAAGATGGAGCTCAGGTTGTTGATGAGTTGACCTTGAGATGGGGAGACAGCCTGGACTGTCCCGGTGGGCTCAATATAATCACAAGTGTCCACATGAAAGGAGGAGGAAGAGGAGAGTGGGGATTAGAGCAGCGTAGTGGGAGACTCCATTAGCTTTGAAGGTGGATGAAGGCCATAAGCCATGAATGCAGGTGGCCTATAGAGGCTGGGAAAGTCAAGTAACTGATTCTCCTGAGTCTCCAGAGGGAACACAGCCCTGCAGATGCCTTGATTTTAGCCCTCGAAAAACAGGGTCCGCTTTCTGTCTCCAGAATCGGAGGGGGTCAGTGTGCTCTCTCCTGCTGCCATGCTTCTGATAATTTTCTACAGCAGCAACAGGAAACCAACACTGGAACCCAGGTCAAGGACAAGTTAAGAAAAGACACAAGGATAGCCAGGCATGGTGGCAGGTGCATGTAATCCTAGCGACTCGGGAGGCTGAGAGCAGGAGAATCGCTTGAACCCAGGAGACAGAGGTTGCAGTGAGCGTAGACCACACCACTTCACTCCAGCCTGGGTGAAGGAGTGAGACTCTGTCTCCAAAATTAATTAATTAATTAAAGAAACCAAACAAAGAGAAGGTTGGCTACACCGAGATCAGCAAGGGTGGGATGATGATGCCACCACCAGGCTCCATCCACATAGGGAGGGGTTGATACTCCTCAAATCAGCACGAGGAGCCAGCCTATGGAAACTGGCACCATGGAGAAGGCACAGACATGGCAAGAGTGGCTCCCAGTCCCCACCAGGAACAGGGTGTGTGGACACTGGTGCCTGCCTTACTGATCAGTTCATACCTCCTGCCAAGGATTCCAATTCGTCCAAAAGAGATTGAACCAGGCTGCTAAGAGCCGGGACGTGCAGCCTATCCTGCTTCCTCTTCCACTCCCACATAGACAGTAAGAAAGACATTAGTGTGAAATAGATACAACAGCCCAAGAGATGAGGCTGAGCCCAGTGGGAAGGGAATCACAGCTACTAGAGACAGAGGGACAGAGAAGAGGGAGGGAGACAGATGGAAGGACCTGCACCAGGAGTTATGGGCACAGAAAAGAACATGAAGACACAGAGAGGAAGCAGAGAGACAGACACCAGCGAAGGGAAGTCTCACTCATTCCAGGTGCCATGGATGGGATGATAAAGAGAGACACCTTCTAAACTCACAACCTCTCTTCCTAGGAGTCCACAGAAAACCTTCCTTCCTGGCCCTCCCAGGTCACCTGGTGAAATCAGAAGAGACAGTCATCCTGCAATGTTGGTCGGATGTCATGTTTGAGCACTTCCTTCTGCACAGAGAGGGGAAGTTTAACAACACTTTGCACCTCATTGGAGAGCACCATGATGGGGTTTCCAAGGCCAACTTCTCCATTGGTCCCATGATGCCTGTCCTTGCAGGAACCTACAGATGCTACGGTTCTGTTCCTCACTCCCCCTATCAGTTGTCAGCTCCCAGTGACCCTCTGGACATGGTGATCATAGGTGAGAGTGTCCAGACATTCTTCTCATTGTCATTGGGATGCAGAGTGAATGATCCAGGACTTGGAGACCCAGGTGGTTGTAAGGAAGATGAGCTTGGTATTCTTATGGAGAGAGACTGACTTGGTGAGGTCTGTGCCAACAGAGACAGAGAAACAAGAGACACAAGTACAGACCAGGTGTCATAACAGAGGACAAACACAGGGGCCATACCGGGAGTTAGAAAAGACAGAAAGAGTTAAAGGAGACAGACAGACATGTCCCAGACAGAGGTGTCCTTCCATGCTGACTTTGCTCAGAGACCTGGCACAGGTTAGAAGTTTCATTTCTGTTTTACCTCCACAAAGTGTTCTCTACCAGGAGAACCCAAGGACACCCATATTTCTGACCTGAGTTGGGCCCTGTGGCCTCAGGCCTTGTGGCACCTACAGATGCCATGCTTATTCTGACACCTCTGACTTCCATGCAATGGAGAATAATCGTCCCAAAATATCATGGCCCCAGAACACCAACCCCTGTATGCTGTGTGAACTTGTGGTCTCCAGACTGGATTCTGAGGCTCACATTCCAAATAACCCCACATATCACATATGAGAGGATCACTGAGAAGCACAGAGAGAAATCAGGGACACCAAAAAGCAAAGACATAAACACACAGAGAAAGAGCCAGAGGAAGGAGATTGAGAGACTCACAGACACATAAAGAGAGAGAAGAGGGCAGAGAAGTGGAGAGAATGATGGAAGAGAGCAGAGAAAACCACTAAAATTAGAGTCCTGAGGGCGAGGCACAAGGGCATAGAAAGATGGAGATGTGGGGATGAATTGCAGAGATTCCAAAGAGAACTAGAGAGACCGAGAGGCAGAGCAAGACAGATGATAGATGGATAGATACAGATAGATGATGGATAGATATAGATAGATGATATATAGGTAGATGATAGATAATAGGTTATAGATACATAGATGATGATTGATTGATTCATTAATAGATGATACATAGAGATGATGATGATGAAGATAGATGGATAGATAATACATAGAGATAGAGAGGAAGACAAAGAGAGAAATAATAGAGAGAGAGAGATGATACATATATATAGATAATAGATGATTGACGGATAGACAATTGATAGATAAATAGATGATATATAGATATAGATGACAGGTAGAGAATTTGTAGATAGGCACCGAATAGATAAATAGATGGATTGATAGATAATAGATAGAAATATGCAGAAAGTTATGAACGGGACACAAACTGAGAAACTCAGAGTTAAAAAAAGTAACATCAAGTCAACCAATCCAAGGAGAGCCAGAGAGAATAAAACAATCCAAAAAAGGAAAACATAACTAGAGGTAGGGAAGTGAGGTCAGAGACCTACAGAGACAGAGAAGGTGGAAGGAGGAAATAGACATGAAGAGAGATAGGGTGGAGGGTGAGACAGAGAAAGAGAGCATTAGGCCATAGAGCAGGGGAGTGAGTTCTCAGGTCAGGTGTGAGGGGAGCTGTGACAAGGAAGATCCCCCCTGAGGAAACTGCCCCTTCTCCTTCCAGGTCTATATGAGAAACCTTCTCTCTCAGCCCAGCCGGGCCCCACGGTTCAGGCAGGAGAGAATGTGACCTTGTCCTGCAGCTCCCGGAGCTCCTATGACATGTACCATCTATCCAGGGAAGGGGAGGCCCATGAACGTAGGCTCCCTGCAGTGCGCAGCATCAACGGAACATTCCAGGCCGACTTTCCTCTGGGCCCTGCCACCCACGGAGGGACCTACAGATGCTTCGGCTCTTTCCGTGACGCTCCCTACGAGTGGTCAAACTCGAGTGATCCACTGCTTGTTTCCGTCACAGGTGAGGAAACCCCATATCTGTCCCATGTCCTATGATCCTAGAGCCTTAGCTGAGGAGCTTCCTGCTGATGATGGAGAGAAGCATGGACAGATGCAGAGAGAAGACGCAGCATGCCTGTGAGGGAGGGATCAGGGCGCAGGATGGCACACACAGCACCTCCAAACCCTCCTGCATGGCCTGCATGGAGGCCTCCGATTAGGGCTCCAGAAACCCAGGCAGATGTAGAAAGCGGTCAGGAGAGACCCAGAGAAGGGGAGACTGGGCTCAGTTTGGGGAGATCAGAGGTTCCCTCAGCCCCTCAACCTTACCCATTTCCCAGAAGCCCTTCCTGGCCTCTCACCCACACAGAGATGTCATCACCAGCAACCCCTACATCCTTTTCTTTTTGTTTGAAAAAATATTCATTGAGGTTAAATATACCTATATAGCTTACCACTTTTAACATTTTTTTTTTTTTGAGGTGGAGTCTAGCTCTGTCTCCTATGCTGGAATGCAGTGGCACAATCTCAGCTCACTGTAACCTCCGCCTCCTGGGTTCAAGCGATTCTCCTGCCTCAGCCACCTGAGTAGCTGGTACTACAGGCGCCCATCACCACGCCGGGCTACTTTTTGTATATTTAGTAGAGAGGGGGTTTCACCATGTTGGTCGAGCTGCTCTGGAACTCCTGACCACGTGATCCACCCGCCTCAGGCTCCCAAAGTGCTGGGATTACAGGCATGAGCCACCGCGCCCGGCCACGTTTACCAATTTTAAGTGTAAGGTCTAGTGGTCATAAATACATACATATAAATTTTTTGTTTGTTTGTTTTATCCTCCACCCTTTTCTTCCTGGCCTCTGGTAGCCACCATTCTACTCTCTATCTTCATGAGATCCACCTTTTAGCTCCTGTATATGGGTGAGAAATGAGAATATTTGTAATGACTTCCAGTTCCATCCATGTGGCTGCAAATATCAGGATGTTATTCTTTCTATGGATGAGTAGTCTCCGCTGTGCGTATGTACTACATTCTCTCTATCCATTCATCCACTGATGGGCAGGTAGGTTGACTCCACATCTTGGCTACTGTGAAGAGTGCTGCACCAATCATACGAGTGCAGATATCACTTCGATACATTGATTTACTTTCCTTTGGATATAAACCCAGTAGTGAAATTGCTGGATACTATGAAAGTTCTCTTTTTAGTTTTTCGTTTGTTGTTTTGTTTTTGTTTTTGAGACAGTTTCCCTCTGTGCCCAGGCTGGAGTACAAGTGATGTGATCTTGGCTCATTGCAACCTCCGCCTCCTGGGTTCAAATGATTTTCCTGCCTCAGCCTCCCTAGTAGCTGGGATTACAGGTGCACGCCACCATGCCGGGATACTTTTTGGTTTTTTTTAGTGTACATGGGGTTTCCCCAGGTTGGCTAGGCTGCTCTCAAACTCATGACCTCAACTGAGGTGCCCGCCTCGGTCTCCCAAAGTGCCGGGATTACAGGCATGATCCACTTCATCCAACCTCTTTTTAGTTCTTTAAAGGACTTCCATACTTTTCTCCGTAATGGCTGTACTAATTTACACTCCTACCAACAGGGTACCAGGGTTCTCCTTTCTCTACCACCTTGCCAGCATTTGTTTTGCCTGTCTTGCAGCTAAAAGCCATTTTATTTTATTTCATTTTATTTTGAGATGGAGTTTCGCTCTTGTCACCCAGGCTGGAGTGCAGTGGTGCGATCTCGGCTCACCGCAACCTCCACCTCCCAGGTTCAAGCGATTCTCCTGCCTCAGCCTCCCGAGTAGCTGGAATTACAGGCACACACCACCACGCCCGACTAATTTTTGTATTTTTAGTAGAGACAGCGTTTCTCCATGTGGGTCAGACTGGTCTCAAACTCCCGACCTTATGAGATTCGCCCACCTCGGGCTCTCAGAGTTCTAGGATGACAGACGTGAGCCACCTCGCCCGGCCTAAAAGCCATTTTAATGGGGTGAGATGAAAACTCACTTTGATTTTAATTCGCGTTTCTCTGATGATGAGTGATACTGAGCACTTTTTCGTATGTGGGGAAATTTCATGTCTTTTGCTCCTTTTTCAATTAAATCATTTGTTTTATTGAGTTGTTTGAGCTTCTTATACTTCTAGTTATTAATCCCGTCTCAGATGCATAGTTTGCACATATTTGCTCCCAATCTGTGGGTTGTCTCTTCACTTTGTTGGTTTATTTTTAGCGGTGCAGAAGTTGCTTAGTTTGAGGTAATCCCAATGGTCTATTTTTGCTTCGATTACTTGTGTTTTGAAGGTTTAAAACAAAATGTCTTCCTTCAGACAAATGTACTGGAGCATTTCCCCAATATTTTCTTCTACGTGTTTCACAGGTTCAGGCCTTAGACTCACATCTTTAATCCACTTTCATTTGATTTTTGTGTATGGTGACAGGTAGAGGTGCAGTTTCATTCCTCTGCATGTAGATGTCCAGGTTTCCCTGCACTGTTTATTGAAAAAACTGTCCTTTCCTGATTGTGAGTTCTTGGCACCTTTGTCAAAGTCCATTGGATGGGCTGGGCATGGTGGCTAACACCAGCAACTTCAGCACTTTGGGAGGCCAAGGCTGGTGGATCACCTGAGGACAGGAGTACAAGATTACTCTGGCCGACGTGATGAAACATCGTCTCCACTAAAAATATAAAAATTAGCTGAGCATGGTGGTCAGCACCTGTAATACTACTACTCAGGAGTTTGAGGCAAGAGAATTGATTGAACCCAGGAGGCTGAGGTTGCAGTGAACCGAGATTGCACCTCTGCACTCCAGCCTGGGTGACAGAGCAAGACTCCATCTCAAAAGAAAAAATAAAAAAAATTGGATGTAAATGCATGGATTATATCTGTGTTCTTCATTCTGCTCCGTTGTTCTATGTGCCTTTCTTCATGCCAACATCATGCTGTTTTGCTTACTACAGCTCTGTAACATATTTTGAGATCAGGTAGTGTGATGCTCCTGTTTTCTCTTTATACCTTGAAGTCTCAAGACAGTGGGCGTCACATACAAAAATTATGGAAGAAAGGATCCCTGGACTCCCAGGGCCCAATGTTAGATAACAGAGTGTTGGCCATGAACCAAACTCAAAGATTTCCACTGAGTAGAGGACAGACACCCTCATTTCCTCACCTCTCTCCTGTCTCATGTTCTAGGAAACCCTTCAAATAGTTGGCCTTCACCCACTGAACCAAGCTCCAAAACCGGTGAGTACAGGACCCTCTTATATCCGCTTTTGGAACCCTGGGGAGGTGGAAACCTTGGATTCAGGCGTTGACTCAGCATCTCACAGCTCTGACATTGTACGCCTGTCTTCTACCATCTCCGAACTCCAGATACTCCAACAGCGAAAGGGATCTGGGCCCAACACAGGGCTCAGTGAAATCTCTTCATCTCTCATTTTATGGAGCTGAGACCTCCTACAAGCTAGAAGAATGATTGCCAATCTGACATCCTTCTCAGGAAAAACGCAATGTTTGTTCTGCTTGCATTCCTAACTGGAGGATAAATTCCTGGGGGCTTGAGAGAGGGAAGGGAAGCGAACATCTGATGAGGGCGAGGTGTTTTAGAGAAGTTCCACTTGCCAAGGAATGAGCTCCTGTTGGTCATGAAACAACCCTGGCTGACTCAGCAGAGCAAGAGCCTTGCCGTAACAGAGAACAGAGCTCATGCACGCACACTTTGACTCACTGACTTATTCAGCCACGGCCCCATGCTCAGGTTGTGCAGTGTGGAAGCTTTTCCTATTGTTGCCATAACAAATTTCCACAAGATTCGTGGGTGAAAACAAAACGGTTATTTAATTATCTTACAGTGCTCTAGCTCAAAGCATGAAGTGCATCTCACTGGGCTAAAATCAAGATGACAGCAAGCCTGCCTTCCCTCTGAGGATTCCAGGCAAGAATCTGCTTCTCACTTGTCCCATCTTATAAAGGCTCCCAGTTCCTTGGCTGCTGGTCCCTTTCCTCCTTCCTCAAAACCCACAAAGACTGGTCACATCTCACATGGCATCACTCAGACCCTTCTTCCTTACCACACCTCTTTCTCTGAATGCTGCTCTCCCTTCTTCCTCATCTTTTGAAAACTTGGGGATTCTATTGGGTTCACCAAGATGAAAATCCGTCATAATCTCCCGGAAATCATTCAGGATACCCTTGTTTTAAGTTCAGCTGATTAGCAACCATAATTCCATCTGCAATCTTCATTCCTCCTTTCCATGTAAAATAACATATTCACAAGCTATGGAGGCTAGGACAGGGACATTTTGGGGTGGGACAGCATTCTCCTGCCTTCCACAAATGGTGAACAAGATGCATTTGGCCTCTGCTCTTGGGACACTGATATTGCAGATGGTTAAATGGGAGGACAGAAAATGAATGCACAAGTGGACCAATAAATGAATGATCCATTGGGAAGCATCTGTGCATGAAATCTATTTGTTTGTTTGTTCGTTTGTTTATTGAGACAGAGTCTCCCTCTGTCTTCCAGGCTACAGTGCAGTGTCACGATCTTGGCTCACTGCAACCTGCGTCTCCTGGATCCAAGTGATTCTCCTGCCTCACCCTCTCGAGTAGCTGGGATTACAGGCAACTGCCACCATGCCCGGCTAATTCTTTTTGTATATTTTTTGTAGAGAGGATGTTTCACCATGTTGGCCAAGCTTGTCTGAAACTCCCAACCTCAAGTGATCCGACCATCTCAGCAACCCAAAGTACTGGGATTACAGGCGTGAGCCACTTTGCCCAGCCAGAATTCAAAATAAATAATAGATAATGCTGAGTGTATAATTTTGGGTGACAGAGAAGGTCTCACTAATCAGATATTTGTGACATTAATGAAAAACACGGATTGAACCCCTGAAAGATTGGCGGAAGGATTTTCCACACACAGCTGTCAGCTGTGAAGGCACAAAGGTGAAAACAATCTGATGTTGAAGGAAGAGGCTCTGCCTGAAATGCTGGGAATGAGGTGGGGAGAATGACAAGATGACTGTAGAGAGATGGAGAGCACTCTGGGTACACAGGAAACTAAGGAGGAACAAGGAGTGTGTGTTTGACACTCACAGCCATTGGATTCACCTCGGGGTAACCAGGAATCCCTACATGATTAATAGTGACTGACAAGAAAATAAGGGAGGCCCAGGTGCGTAACTGGAATCTAGGAGACTGTGGAAAAGGCAATTGCCGCCCCACTGGTGAAATGTGGTGCTGATTTAGACACTAAATGAATGAAGTAGATGGATATAAGATATGCTTGTGAGGTAGAATCATTGGCTGGAAAGGCTTGCTGGGTTTGATTTTCCTACTTGTTTAATCCTCGCTTAATTAATTTCTTTCTGAGATTTATTCATCCTACACATAAATCAATACCTGGCAAAGGAGTGACAGATATATGAGGGGTGGTGGAAATGAAGGGACCTATTATAGCATAATATACAAGTCTGTGAACGGTGGCTCATGCTTGTAACCCAGCCCTGCAGGAGGCCAAGGCGGGTGGATTCCATGAAGTCAGGAGTTCCAGACCAGCCTGGCCAACATGGTGAAACCCTATCTGTACTAAAAATACAAAAATTAGCCGAGCATGGTGGTGCATCCCTGTAATCCCAGCTCCTACTCTGGAGGATGAAGCAGGAGAATGACTTCAACCCAGGAGGTGGAGGTTGCAGTGAGTGGAGATTGCATCACTGCACTCCAGCCTGGGTGACACAAGGAGACTCCGTCTCAAAAAATAAAAATAAGAAATGCATAAATATAATAAAACACACACGAATGACAAAGGCACCTGAATTCCAATCATCATTTTTCTATTTCTCTATAATTACTTCTTTGATCCTTTATCTTATCCATTAGGCAATCAGCCTAAAACCTCTTCCCTATTTGGCTTTCTGTGAGCATGAGATCACATAGAAAATGTGAAAGCCCGCTGAATCCTCCAGCACGGATCCTGGAATAGAGAAAGTGCTCTGGTCATCGCAAAAAAAAACTTGCCCACTCACCCAAATCGCCCACCTCACCCCTACTTCCAATCACCTGTGGAGATTCAGATAGACCATGGGGAGGAAACATTAATATTCCTTGGAGTGAGTCCAGATCTTGGAATCAGAGATCAGCGACAGCACTAGCTCCTGTTCCCCTTTCCTACTAATTCACAGGAGGACAGGTGGTATTGAAGCAATAGATGGTGGAGGGGGTGGTCCTTCCCCCAGCCTCTCGGGTAGAACAGCAGCCTAACATGTGTCTCCCGAGATCACAAAGAGCAGCACATTTCACACGGGCTTCAACACTATTTTCTGGCTGTTTGACATAAGAGAATCTTGCTTCGCTATTTTTAATCGTGATTTCACCTTTGTTTCCTTTCCTTGGTGAATGCAATTTGTTTGACTCAAGAATGCTGTGGATGTAGAAATCCTAAAGCACATTCGCTGTGTATCAATCCCAGTGCAGTCTTCCCAGAGAAGACTCTAAACAAATCCTGGACTGCACCTGGGCCTATGCCAATTCCTATCACTCACCGTCACTCCAGGGAGACAGAACACACAGAGGATACGTTACATAGGCAGGTTCATTACTAACAGATAAGCAGCGAGTGACAACAGAAGCCTGCATTTCAATGTGAGCCAGTCCCTCAAGGCTCAGAAAAGCTGCTCGGGACATATGGAGTCACCCCATTTGCAGTGTAACTGGGGGAAGCCAGAAAGCAGCCCAGCCTGGGTTTTGTACCCTGGAGCCACAGGAAGCACTCAGCTAAAGCACTGCATGACGTCCTCCTCCAGGAAGAACAGGAAGACAGCCCAGGCTGTTCTGAGACATTCCTCCTGATCTCAGGATGTTGCTATCTTAGTCCATTTTTGTTGCTCTAAAGGAACACTTGAGCCTGGGTAACTTCTAAAGAAAAGAGATTGGTTTGCCTCACAGTTCTGCAGGCTGTACTGGAAGCATGGCACCAGAATCTATTTCTCTTGACGGCCTCAGGCTGCTCCCACTCTGGCAGAAGGGAAGGAGGGTCTGTCTGTGCAGAGACCGCAGAGATCACACGGCAAGAGAGAGAGTAAGGGGGAGAGGGAGCGATGGAGCTTCCAAGCTCTTTTTAACAACCAGCTCTCCAGGAACTAACAGAGGGGGAACTTGCTAACCCCGTCTCCTTGGGACAGCATTGATCTGTTCATGATGGATCCACCTCCATGACCCAAACACCTCTGAAGAGGCCCAACCTCCCACAATGGGGGTGAAATTTCAATGTGAGGTTTGAAAGGGTCAAACATCTCAACTAAAGTAGTTGTATCCTCAGCACGTTCTATGGTTACTATGAGAGCTATAATTGAGAAAGCAGGGGAAAGCTAGGTCTCCCGCCATTTGGGTGCTTGTCCTAAAGAGACGTTGTATGTGGTTACCTGCCAATCAAGAAATGCGAGACAATTCATAAAGAGGAACTGCTATGATTAGCTTCTTATTGGTGTCTCCTCTTCTTCCAGGTAACCCCAGACACCTACATGTTCTGATTGGGACCTCAGTGGTCAAAATCCCTTTCACCATCCTCCTCTTCTTTCTCCTTCATCGCTGGTGCTCCGACAAAAAAAGTAAGTCTCACGAAGCAGAGGCCAGAGAGCTCAGGGCCATGTGGGGAAGCAGGATGGGAGCACGCGGATGTGTGTTCCTCACCAGCAGGATGGTCCCTGGCCCAAGACAGGAGCCACAGAGGCAGGACTTTCTAGAGAGAGCACCAGATTCCCTTCCCCTGCCTTCAGCTCACAGACCATTGCCTGATTCTGAACTGTATCCTCACGTCCCCTGCAGCCACTCACATCCAGGAGAAGGTTCCATGACAGGCAGAAAGTGGGAGATAGAATCAATGGGATGGGAACTCAGAGCTATTCATGGGATGGGTCCTTGAACTCAGAGAGATAGAATGTCTGAGTCTGCTGTTGGCAACTGAGGGACCTCAGGCACCTATGGCCTCCCCCTGTTTGTTGGTATCTGCTTATGAAATGAGGACCCAGAAGTGCCCTCCGAGCTCTTTTGTTGACTTCCGTCTTCTACAGATGCTGCTGTAATGGACCAAGAGCCTGCAGGGAACAGAACAGTGAACAGCGAGGTAGGTGCTCCTCGGCCCAGCCTCGTGGCTAGTCTTATTCCCAAAGAGTCCTGAAAAATGTGAGCACCCTCCCTCACTCAGCATTTCCCTCTCTCCAGGATTCTGATGAACAAGACCATCAGGAGGTGTCATACGCATAATTGGATCACTGTGTTTTCACACAGAGAAAAATCACTCGCCCTTCTGAGAGGCCCAAGACACCCCCAACAGATACCAGCATGTACATAGAACTTCCAAATGCTGAGCCCAGATCCAAAGTTGTCTTCTGTCCACGAGCACCACAGTCAGGCCTTGAGGGGATCTTCTAGGGAGACAACAGCCCTGTCTCAAAACCGGGTTGCCAGCTCCCATGTACCAGCAGCTGGAATCTGAAGGCATCAGTCTTCATCTTAGGGCATCGCTCTTCCTCACACCACGAATCTGAACATGCCTCTCTCTTGCTTACAAATGTCTAAGGTCCCCACTGCCTGCTGGAGAGAAAACACACTCCTTTGCTTAGCCCACAATTCTCCATTTCACTTGACCCCTGCCCACCTCTCCAACCTAACTGGCTTACTTCCTAGTCTACCTGAGGCTGCAATCACACTGAGGAACTCACAATTCCAAACATACAAGAGGCTGCCTCTTAACACAGCACTTAGACACGTGCTGTTCCACCTCCCTTCAGACTATCTTTCAGCCTTCTGCCAGCAGTAAAACTTATAAATTTTTTAAATAATTTCAATGTAGTTTTCCCGCCTTCAAATAAACATGTCTGCCCTCATGGTTTCGGTAACGAGACTCTTTTCTTGCCTAAGGCTTCCGGTGTTATCATTACCATGTCCACATAACCCCATCTGTTCTCCATTGGGTTCTCAGCCCTGGACTCTGAGCTTCTGGAAGCAGAATGTAGCCTGATTTGTCTCTGAGACTCCAATTTCCATCCAAAGATACAGCACATAGGAGGCTCCAAGGATCGTGAATCACATGAACAAGTGATATTCTTACTCTCTGCAGACCTGGAAAGCTGGCAGAGTCATTCCACGATGAAACATTTGTAGAGACATAGGCCTTGTTAGTCTCATCTCCACGGGGACACATATCAACATATCATCTTTCATAATATAAATATACAGTCGGTCCTCCATATCTGTGGGGTTTACAGGTGTTTATTGAACCAACAATAAATCAAAAATATTTTCAGAAAAAAATCCCCGAAGTTTCAAGAAGCAAAAAACTATGTTGAATCGACACAAATTGAGTGGCGTGTAGGCTGTGTCAGGAATTATAAGTAATCAAGAGATGATTTCATGTATACAGGAGGATGTGCATGGGTTCTATGCAATTGCTATGCTATTTTTTTTTTTTTTTGAGACAGTCTCACTCTCTCACCCAGGCTGGAGTGCAGTGGCATGATCTCAGCTCACTGCAACCTCTGCCTCCCAGGTTCAAGCGATTGTCTTCCCTCAGCCTCCCCAGTAGCCTCCCCTAGGATTACAGGCACGTGCCACCATGCACAGATAAATTTTTTTGTGTGTGTATTTTTAGTAGAGACGGGGTTTCAGAATGTTGGACCAGCTGGTCTTGAACTCCTGACCTCGTGATCTACCCAACTCAGCCTCCCAAAGTGCTGGGATTACAGGCGTGAGCCACGGTGCCCAGCTTCGCTATGCCATTTCATGCAAGGGGCTTGAGCATCTGCAGATTTTGGTATCTGAATGGGGATCCTGGAACCAATCACCCAGGAATAGTGAAGGACCACAGTATATAATTTTTATTTGTCAATCTTAAAAATAAAGCATAAAAAGTTTACAACAACAAGATAAAAAATAAGAAGTGTTTTTATAGTGTGAGGATAAGTTTAGATTTATTTTTTCCTACGTGTAACCCTATGGTCCTGTGTTATTTATTGAGAAAATATTCTATTCCACCTTAAACTACATGGCAGCCTTTGTCAACTATAAAGGGACTGTGTATCCACAGATGTATTTTAGACACAGTTTTCTGCCCAGTGGTTCTCTGTATCCCCTCTCATGAGGATGCTGCATTTCATATAAACTTATAGAACCCCTTAAAATTTGGTAACCTGAGTTCTCTGATTTGTTATTATAGGTTATTTAGTTTGCTTTTTTTTTTCTTTCTTGAGACAGACTCTTCCTCTGTCACCCAAGCTGGAGTTCAGTGGCTTGAGCTCAGCTCACTGCAGCCTCCGCCTCCCAGGTTCAAGCAATTCTCGTGCCTCAGGTTTAGTACTAGAAACTCATCAGGAAAATTAGAATGGCTTTTTGTCACAATTACTCTGATAATGTTAATAATACCTCTTAGATATTTTGCACATTACACATGAAGAAAAGTTTGAATCTCAGATAAAAACAAAAATACATCAAAAGTCTTTAATGTAAGCACAGAATTCAATCACCTCATGTGTGAGAGGTTGGATCTGAGACGTCTTTTGAGTCTGGTCATAGTGAAGGATGCAAGGTGGCAATTGTAGTCACAACAATTTCCAGGAAGCCATGTTCCGCTCTTGAGCGAGCACCCACTGGGCCTCATGCAAGGTAGAAAGAGCCTGCGTACGTCACCCTCCCATGATGTGGTCAACATGTAAACTGCATGGGCAGGGCGCCAAATAACATCCTGTGCGCTGCTGAGCTGAGCTGGGGCGCGGCCTCCTGTCTGCACCGGCAGCACCATGTCGCTCACTGTCGTCAGCATGGCGTGCGTTGGTGAGTCCTGGAAGGGAATAGAGGGAGGGAGAGTGGGGATGGAGATCTCGGCCTAGAGGTAAAGATATGGGCCTGGAGTGGAGATATGGGCCTGGAGTGGAGATATGGGCCTGGGTGTGGAGATATGGGCCTGGAGGTGTAAATATGGGCCTGGAGTGCAGATATGGGCCTGGAGGGGAGATATGGGCCTGGGTGTGGAGATATGGGCCTGGAGTGGAGATACGGGCCTGGAGTGGAGATATGGGCCTGGAGTGGAGATATGGGCCTGCAGGTGGAGATCTGGGCCTGGAGTGGAGATATGGGTCTGATGTGGAGATATGGGCCTGGAGTGGAGATATGGGCCTGGAGTGGAGATATGGGCCTAGAGGGGAGATCTGGGCCTGGAGTGGAGATATGGGTCTGATGTGGAGATATGGGCCTGGAGTGGAGATAGGGGCCTGGAGTGGAGATAGGGGCCTGGAGTGGAGATATGGGCCTGGAGTGGAGATCTGGGCCAGGAAGTGTTGATCTGGGCCTGGAGCCTGGGTCTCTCCACAGCTGAGAGCCCTGTTCTTGGCAGCAGGTAGCAGGGAGGCTAAGTTTACCTTCAGCCCAGCAAGGGCCTGGCTGCCAAGACACACAGTGCAGTGGGGGCAGCAGGGTGCCCTGGTTTGCCTGCAGTTGGATCGTCTATCATGATCTTTCTTTCCAGGGTTCTTCTTGCTGCAGGGGGCCTGGCCACTCATGGGTGAGTCCTTCCCCAAACCTTAGGGTGTCATCTCCCCACATAAGAGGATTTTTCTGAAACAGGAGGGAAGTCCTGTCGGGGAGTCTCTCATAAACTAGGAAGAGGGGACCCTTGGATACTCGGCCCACATTTCTGACCTCGCCCTCCCCGGCCTTTCTTTCCCTTTCCTGAGTCAAGCTCTGTGAAGACTGGGGTGAGACTGGGGTGCTCCAAGCTGGGGTGTGCAGGGAGGAAGTGGTGTCAGCAGCAGAGAAAGAGAGGGAAGCAGTGCTAGGAACAGCAGGTCCTCTGAGGACAAAGGTATAACTGACACCCTCCAGCGTTTCCGTGACGGTAGGGGCTGCAGTGTGGCTGCGGTCTTTCTACCAGAAGAGGGGGGAAACCACAGCCATGGCCCTGACATTCCAAATCCTCTGAGGGGGCTCAGTTCATGAATTGGCTGATATTCCATTCACATAGGACATGCCCTCCATGCCGTGTCTACTTTGTGTTGTTTTATGTGAGTAATTTTGCAGTATTAAAATCTAGTAAGAGTCACTTATTCAGCACTTGCTCAAAGTTCTCAGCTGACACTTGTTGTAGGGAGACGCCATGTCTATGTGGGGTGGGTCCTTCCTGTAGCCCTGGGCACCCAGGTGTGGTAGGAGCCTTAGAAAGCGGAAATGGGAGAATCTTCTGAGCACAGGGAGGGAGGGGTGGCTCCACATCCTCCTCTCTAAGGCAGTGCCTCCTTCTCCCCCAGGTGGTCAGGACAAACCCTTCCTGTCTGCCCGGCCCAGCACTGTGGTGCCTCGAGGAGGACACGTGGCTCTTCAGTGTCACTATCGTCGTGGGTTTAACAATTTCATGCTGTACAAAGAAGACAGAAGCCACGTTCCCATCTTCCACGGCAGAATATTCCAGGAGAGCTTCATCATGGGCCCTGTGACCCCAGCACATGCAGGGACCTACAGATGTCGGGGTTCACGCCCACACTCCCTCACTGGGTGGTCGGCACCCAGCAACCCCCTGGTGATCATGGTCACAGGTCAGAGGCTTTCTGTCTGGGCTTCTCACTGTCCCACCTCCTGAATCCCAGAGCTTCTGGTGGGGGTGTCCATCAGGGTCCCATCACCCAGGCCCCAACTGTATTTGGGGTCAAGGGAGATTGAATACAGGG
This sequence comes from Homo sapiens, assembly GCF_000001405.40. Taxonomy (NCBI): domain Eukaryota; kingdom Metazoa; phylum Chordata; class Mammalia; order Primates; family Hominidae; genus Homo; species Homo sapiens. The sequence continues at coordinate 756,786 of NW_003571060.1, forward strand.
GAAATGGGCGCTGTGGTGGGAAGAATAACTGTCGCCAATGATGGCTACATTGTAAACCCTGGAGCCTGTGACTATTTATGTTATAGGGCAGGGGACTGAAGGGGAAGGTGGAGCTCAGGTTGTTGATGAGTTGACCTTGAGATGGGGAGACAGCCTGGACTGTCCTGCTGGGCTCAGTGTAATCACAAGGGTCCGCGTGAGAGGTGGAGGAAGAGGGGAGTGGGGATTAGAGCAGTGTAGTGGGAGGGAGACGCTATCAGCCACTGTGGGCTTTGAAGGTGGAGGAAGGCCACTAGTCACAGAATGCAGGTGGCCTCTAAGGGCTGGAGAAGTCAAGAGAACTGATTCGCTGAGTCTCCAGAGGGAACGCAGCCCTGCAGATGCCTTGATTTCAGCACAGGGAGAACTGGATCCAATTTCTGTCCCCAGAAGTGGAAGGGGTCAGTGTGTTCTCTCCTGCTGCCATGTTTGTGATAATTTTCTGCAGCAGCAACAGGAAACCGACACAGGAACCCAGGTCAAGGACAAGCTAGGAAACCAAACAAGGATAGCCAGGTGTGGTGGTGGGCACGAGTAATCCAACGACTGGGGAGGCTGAGGCAAGAGAATCACTTGAACCGGGGAGGCAGAGGTTGCAGTGAGCCAAGACAACACCACTGCACTCCAGCCTGGGTGAAAAAGTGACTGTCTCAAAAATAAATTAATTAATCAATTAATTAAAGAAACCAAACAAGGAGAAGGTTGGCTACCGTGGGATCAGCAAGGGTGGGATGCTGATGCCACCACCAGGCTCCATCCACATAGGAAGGGGTTGATGCTCCTGGAACCAGCACCAGGGACCACCCTATGGAAGCTGGGGCCATGGAGAAGGCACAGACATGGCAGGAGAGGCTCCCAATCCCCATCAGGAACAGGGTGTGTGGACACTGATGTCTGCCTTACTGATGAGTTGATACCTCTGCCAGAGACTCCAATTTGTTCAAAAGAGATTGATTCAGGCTGCTGAGAGCCTGGACATGCAGCCTGTCCTCTTCCACCCTCACATAGACAGCAGGAAAGAGACTAGTGGGAAAGAGATACAACAGCCCAAGAGATGAGGCTCTCTTCACAGTGGGAAGGGAGTCAGGGGCTACTGGAGACAGAGGGACAGAGAAGAGGGAGGAAGACAAATGGAGGGACCTGCACCAGGGGATATGGGCACAGAAAAGACACGGAGACACAGAGAGGGAGGAGAGAGACAGACCTCTGGGAGGGGAACCCTCACTCATTCCAGGTGCCATGGATGGGATGATAAAGAGAGATGCCTTCTAAACTCACAACTTCTCTTTCTAGGAAACCACAGAAAACCTTCCCTCCTGGCCCACCCAGGGCCCCTGCTGAAATCAGGAGAGACAGTCATCCTGCAATGTTGGTCAGATGTCATGTTTGAGCACTTCTTTCTGCACAGAGATGGGATCTCTGAGGACCCCTCACGCCTCGTTGGACAGATCCATGATGGGGTCTCCAAGGCCAACTTCTCCATCGGTCCCTTGATGCCTGTCCTTGCAGGAACCTACAGATGTTATGGTTCTGTTCCTCACTCCCCCTATCAGTTGTCAGCTCCCAGTGACCCCCTGGACATCGTGATCACAGGTGAGAGTGTCCAGACATTCTTCTCATTGTCATTGGGACACAGAGTGAATGATCCAGGACTTGGAACCCCCAGGTGGTCATGAGGAAGATAAGCGTGGGATTCTTATGGAGAGAGACTGACTCGGTGAGGTCTGTACCAACAGAGACAGGGAAACAGGAGACATAAGTACAGACCAGGTGTCATAACAGAGGACAGACACAGGGGCCATACGGGGAAGTAGAAAAGAGAGAAAGAGGTAAAGGAGACACTCAGACAGACAGACATGTGCCAGAGAGAAGTGTCCTTCCATGCTGACTTTGCTCAGAGACCTGGCACAGGTTAGAAGTTTCATTTCTGTTTTGTCTCCACAAAGTGCTTCTACGAGGAGAACCCAAGGACACCCATATTTCTGACCTGAGTTGGGCCCTGTGGCCTCAGGCCTTGTGGCATCTACAGATGCCATGTTTATTCTGACACCTCTGCCTTCCATGCAGTGGAGCCATAATTATCCCAGGATATCATGGCCCCAGAACACCAACCCCTAAATACTGTGTGTACTTGGTGTCCCCAGACTAGATTCTGAGGCTCATATTCCAAATAATCCTACATATAATAGGATCACTGAGAGACACAGAGATAAATCAGGGACTTCAAAAAGCAAAGGCATAAACACACAGAGAATGAGCCAGAGGAAGGGGATTGAGAGACTCACAGACACACAAAAAGAAAGAAAAGAGGGCAGAGGAGTGGAGAGAATGCTGGAAGGGAGGAGAGAAAAGCCCCAAAATCAGAACCCTGAGGGAGGGGCACAAAGACAGAGAAAGATAAAGATGTGGGGATGGATTGCAGAGATTCCAAATAGAACTAGAGAGACTGAGAGGCAGAGAAAGACAAGGAGATGGAGAGAGACAGATGATAGATGGATAGATAGATATAGATAGATGATAAATAGGTAGATGATAGATAATGGATAGGTTATAGATACATAGATGATGATTGATAGATGATACATAGAGATGATGATGATGATGATGATGAAGATAGATAGATAGAAGACACATATATAAATATATAGATACATAGATGATACATAGAGACTGACAGGCAGACAGAGAGGTAATAGAGAGAGAGAGAGATGATACATAGATACAGATAATACATAGATGATTGATGGATAGACAGATAGACAATTGATAGATAAATGATACATAGATATAGATGACAGATAATTTGTAGATAGACACAAAATAGATAGATAGATAATAGATAGAAATATGCAGAAAGTTATGAACAAGACAGAAAGTGAGAGACTCAGAATTATAGAAAAAGGAAGATCAAGTCAACCAATCCAAGGAGAGTCAGAGAGAATAAAACAATCCAAAAAGGGAAAGCATACCCAGGGGTGGGGAAGTGAGGTCAGAGACCTAGAGAGACAGAGAAGGCGGAAGGAGGAAATAGACATGAAGAGAGTTGGGGTGGAGGGTGAGAGAGAGAGAGAGCATTAGGTCATAGAGCAGGGGAGTGAGTTCTCAGCTCAGGTATGAGGGGAGCTGTGACAAGGAAGAACCTCCCTGAGGAAACTGCCTCTTCTCCTTCCAGGTCTATATGAGAAACCTTCTCTCTCAGCCCAGCCGGGCCCCACGGTTCAGGCAGGAGAGAACGTGACCTTGTCCTGTAGCTCCTGGAGCTCCTATGACATCTACCATCTGTCCAGGGAAGGGGAGGCCCATGAACGTAGGCTCCGTGCAGTGCCCAAGGTCAACAGAACATTCCAGGCAGACTTTCCTCTGGGCCCTGCCACCCACGGAGGGACCTACAGATGCTTCGGCTCTTTCCGTGCCCTGCCCTGCGTGTGGTCAAACTCAAGTGACCCACTGCTTGTTTCTGTCACAGGTGAGGAAAACCCGTGTCTGTCCCATGTCTTATGATCCTAGAGCCATAGCTGAGGAGCTTCCTGCCGATGATGGGGAGAAGCATGGACAGATGCAGAGAGAACACGAAGACTGGGTGTGAGGGGGGGGTCAGGGTGCAGGATGGCAGACAGGGCACCTCCAAACCCTCTTGCATGGCCTGCATGGAGGCCCATGGTCAGGGCTCCAGGCACCCAGGCAGATGGAGAAAGCGGTCAGGACAGACCCAGAGAAGGGGAGACTGGGCTCAGTTTGGGGAGATCAGAGGTTCCCTCAGCCCCTCAACCTTACCCATTTCCCAGAAGCCCATCCTGGCCTCTCACCCACACAGAGAGATGTCATCACCAGCAACCCCTACACTCTTTTCTTTTCATTTTCAAAAATATTTATTGAGGTTAAATGTAACTATATAATTTACCAACTTTACCATTTTTAAAAGTAAAATCTAGTGGTCATAAATACCTTTATATGCTGGGTGTGGTGGTTCACGGTTGTAATCTTGGCGCTTTGAGAGGCCAAGAAAGGTGGATCATTTAAGATCAGGGACTCGAGATCAGCCTGGCCAACATGCGGGAAATTCATCTTTACTAAACAGACAAGAAAAATTAGCCAAGCATGCCGGCATGCACCTGTAGTCCTAGCTACTTGGGAGGCTGAGGCAGGAGAAGCACTTAAAGCCAGGAGGCAGAGGTTGCACTGAGCCGAGATCATGCCACTGCACTGCAGCCTGGGAGACAGAGAGAGACTCTGTTTCTAAATAAATAAATACATCTATATTCTTTTTTTTGTTACCCTCCACCCTTCCCTTCCTGGCCTCTGGTATCCACCATTCTATTCTCTACCTTCATGAGATCCACCTTTTATCTCCTGCATGTGGTGAGAAATGGGAATCTTTGTAATGACCTCGAGTTCCATCCATGTGGCTGCAAATGACAGGATGTTATTGTTTCTATGGATGAGTAGTCTCCACCGTGTGTGTGTACTACAGTTCTCTATCCATTCACCCACTGATAGGCAGGTAGGTTGACTCCACATCTTGGCTACTGTGAACAGTGCTGGAACAGTCATATGAGTGCAGATATCACTTCGATACACTGATGTCCTTTCCTTTGGATATAAACCCAGTAGTGAAATTGCTGGACACTATGAAAGTTCTCTTTTTTTTTTTTCTTTTTTGAGAAAGAGTTTCCCTCCTTAGTCCAAGCTGGAGTCAAAGTGGTGCGATCTTGGCTCATTGCAACCTCTGCTTCCTAGGTTCAAACGATTCTCCTGACTCAGCCTCCCTAGTAGCTGTGATTACAGGTGCACGCCACCATGCCTGACTAATTCTTGTATTTTTTAGCACAGACGGGATATCCCAATTTTGGGCAGGCTGCTCTCAAACTCCTGACCTCAAGTGAGGTGCCTGCCTCGGTTTCCCAAAGTGCTGAAGTTACAGGCATAAGCCACTATGCCCAGCCTGCTTTTAGTTTTTTAAAGATTTTCCATACTTTTCTCCATAATAGTTGTACTAATTTACATTCCTACCAACAGGGTACCAGGGTTCTCCTTTCTCTACCATCTTGCCAGCATTTGTTTTGCCTGTCTTGCAGATAAAAGCCATTTTACTTTACTTTATTTATTTATTTATTTATGTTGAGATGGAGTTTCACTCATAGTCGCCCAGGCTGGAGTGCAAGGGTGTGATCTCGGCTCACTGCAACCTCTGCCTCCCGCGTTCAACTGATTCTCCTGCCTCAGCCTCCAAAGTAGCTGGGATTACAGGCATGTGCCACCACGCCTAGCTAATTTTTGTATGTTTAGTAGAGAGGGAGTTTCTCCATGTTGGTCAGGCTGGTCTCCCGACCTCAGGTGATCCGCCCACCTCCGCCTCCCAAAGTGCTGGAATTACAGGCGTGAGCCACCGGCCTAAAAGGCATTTTAATGGGATGAGATGAAAACTCATCGCGATTGTAATTTACATTTCTGTGATGATGAGTGATGCTGAGCACTTTTTCATATACGTGATCGCCATTTCTATGTTTTGTTTGTGGAGAAATGTCTCCTCATGTCTTTTGCTCGTTTTTTAATTAAATTGTTTTATTGAGTTGTTTGAGCTTCTTATATTTCCAGTTATTAATCCCATCTCAGATGAATAGTTTGCAAATATTTGCTCCTATTTTGTGGGTTGTCTCTTCACTTTGTTGGTTTATCTTTGGTGGTGCAGAAGTTGCTTGGTTTGATGTAATCCTAATGGTCTATTTTTTGCTTTGATTACTTGTGTTTTGAAGGTTTTAAACAAAATGTCTTTCGTCAGACAAATGTCTTCCCCATTATTTTCTTCTACATGTTTCATAGGTTCAGGCCTTAGACTCATGTTTTTAATCCATTTTCATTTGATTTTTGTGTAAGGTGACAGGTATAGATGCAGTTTTATTCCTCTGCATGTAGATATCCAGTTTTCCCCACACCATTTATTGAAGACTGTCCTTTCCTGATTGTAAGTTCTCGGCACCTTTGTCAAAGTCCATTAAATGGGCTGGGTATGGTGGCTCACACCTGCAATTCCAGCACTTTGGGAGGCCGAGGCGGGTGGATCACCTAAAGCCAGGAGTTCAAGACCAGGCTGGCCAACAGAGTGAAACCTCGTCTCTACTAAAAATACAAAAATTAGCTGAGCATGGTGATCAGTGCCTGTAATACCACTACTCAGGAGTTTGAAGCAAGAGAATTTCTTGAATCCAGGAAGTGGAGGTTGCATTGAGCTGAGATTGCACCTCTACACTCCAGCCTGCATGACAGAGCAAGATTCTATCACACACACACAAAAGAAAGCCATTGGATGTAAATGCATGGATTATATCTGTGTTCTCCATTCTGTTCCATTTTTTATGTGCCTTTCTTTATGCCAATGTCATGCTGTTTTGCTTACTACAGCTCTGTAACATATTTCTAAGTCAGGTAGTGTGATGCTCCTGTTTTCTCTTTATACCTTCAAGTCTCAAGACAGTGGGCATCGCACACAAAAATTATGGAGAAAAGGATCCCAAGACTCCCAGGGTCCAACATTAGATAACAGAGTGTTGGCCATGAACCAACCTCAAAGATTTCCATTGAGTAGAGGACAAGCACCCTCATTTCCTCACATCTCTCCTGTCCCGTGTTCTAGGAAACCCTTCAAGTAGTTGGCCTTCACCCACAGAACCAAGCTCCAAATCTGGTGAGTAAAGGACCCCTCTTATCTCTGCTTTTGGAAACCTGGGGAGGTGGAAGCCTTGGATGCAAGTGTTGGCTCAAACCTCCCAGCTCTGTGAATGAGGGCCTGTCTTCCACCATCTCTGAACTCCAGACACTCCAACAGTGAAAGGGATCTAGGGCCACCAAAGGGCTCAGCGAAGTCTCTTTACCTTTAATTTCCTGCAGGTGAGACCTCCTACAAGCTAGAAGAATAATTGCCAATCTGACATCCTTCTCAGGAAAAATGCAGTGTTTTTTCTGCCTGCATTCCTAACTGGAGGATAAATTCCCGGGGGCTTGAGAGAGGGAAGGGAAGGGAACATCTGATGAGGGTGGGTGTTTTAGAGAAGTTCCACTTGCCAAGGAATGAATTACTGTTGGTCATCAGGCAACCCTGGCTGACTCAGCAGAGCAAGAGCCTTGCCGTAACAGAGAACAGAGCTCATGCACGCACACTTCGACTCACTGACTCATTCAGCCACGGCCCCATGCTCAGGCTGTGCAGTGTGGAAGCTTTTCCTATTGTTGCCATAACAAATTTCCACAAGATTCGTGGGTGAAAACAAAACGGTTATTTAATTATCTTACAGTGCTGTAGCTCAAAGCATGACGTGCATGTCACTGGGCTAAAATCAAGGTGACAGCAAGGCTGCCTTCCCTCTGAGGGTTCCAGGCAAGAATCTGCTTCTCACTTTTCTCAGCTTCTAGAGGCTCCCATGTTCCTTGGCTCCTGGTACCCTTCCTCCTTCCTCAAAGCCCACAAAGACTGGTCACATCTCACATGGCATCACTCAGACCCTTCTTCCTTACCACACCTCTTTCTCTGAATGCTGCTCTCCCTTCTTGCCCTTCTTTTGAAAACTTGGGGATTCTATTGGGTTCACCAAGATGAAAATCCATCATAATCTCCCAGAAATCATCCAGGATACCCTCCTTTTAAGTTCAGCTGACTAGCAACCATAATTCCATCTGCAATCTTCATTCCTCCTTTCATGTAAAATAACATATTCACAAGCTATGGAGGCTAGGACATGGACATTTTTGGGGTGGGACAACATTCTCCTGCCTTCCACAAACAGTGAACAAGATGCATTTGGCCTCTGTTCTTGGGACACTGATCTTGCAGATGGTTAAATGGGAGGGCAGAAAATGTAGGCACAAGGGGACCAATAAATGAATGATCTATTGAGAAGCATCTGTGCATGAAATCTATTTATTTATGTATTTACCTACTTGTTTATTGAGACGGAGCCTTGCTCTGTCGTCCAGGCTAGAGTGCAGTGGCATGATCTCGGCTCACTGCAACCTCCACCTCCTGGGCTGAACTGATCTCCTCCCTCAGCCTCTCCAGTAGCTGGGATTACAGACCACAACCACCACGCCCGGCTAACTCTTTTTGCATATTTTCTGTAGAGAGGATGTTTCACCATGTTGGCCAGGCTGGTCTCAAATTCCCAACCTCAGGTGATCCAATAGCCTCTGCCTCCCAACACGCTGGGATAAGAGGCATGAGCCACGGGGCCAAGCCAAATTTTCAAATCAATAATAGATAATGCTGAGTGTATGATTTCAGGTGACAGAGAAGTTCTCACTAATCAGATATTTGTGACATTAATGAAAAACACGGATTGAACCCCTGGAAGATTGGCAGAAGGATTTTCCACACAGCTGTCAGCCGTGAAGGCACAAAGGTGAAAACAATCTGATGTGGAAGGAAGAGGCTCTGCCTGAAATGCCGGGAATGAGATGGGGAGAATGACAAGACGACTGTGGAGAGACGGAGAGCACACTGGGTACACAGGAAACTAAGGAGCAACAAGGAGTGTGTGTTTGACACTCACAGCCCTTGGATTCACCTCGGGGTAACCAGGAATCCCTACATGATTAATATGACTGACATGAAAATAAGGGAGGCTCAGGTGCATAACTGGAATCTAGGAGACCGTGGAAAAGGCAATTGCCGCCCCACTGGTGAAATGTGGTGCTGATTTAGACACTAAATGAATGAAGTAGATGGATATAAGATATGTTTGTGAGGTAGAATCATTGACTGGAAACGCTTACTGGGTTTAATTTTTCCTGGTAGTTTAATCCTCGCTTCACTAACTTATTTCTGAGATTTATTTCTCCTGCATCTAAATCAATACCTGGCAGAGGAGGGAGAGCTAGATGAGGGGTGGTGCAAATGAAGGGACCTAGTATAGCATAATATACAAGGCTGTGAACGGTGGCTCACGCCTGTAACCCAGCACTTCAGGAGGCCAACGCGGGTGGATCACATGAAGTCAGGAGTTCGAGACCAGCCTGGCCAACATGGAGAAACCCTATCTCTACTAAAAATACAAAAATTAAACAGGCATGATGGTGGTGCATGACTGTAATCCCAGCTACTCTGGAGGAGGAAGCAGGAGAATGACTTCAGCCCTGGAGGCAGAGGTTGCAGTGAGTGGAGATCGCATCACTGCACACCAGCCTGGGCTACACAGGGATACTCTGTCTCAAAAAATAAAAATAAAAAATACATAAATATAATAATATACACAAATGATGCAGGCACCTGAATTCCAATCATCATTTTTCTATTCCTCTATAATTACTTCTTTGATCCTTTATCTTATCCATTAGAAAATCAGCCTAAAACCTCTTCCATATTTGGCTTTCTGTGAACATGAGATCATATGGAAAATATGAAAGCCCCCTGAACCCACCAGCACAGGCCCTGAAATAGGGAAAGTGCTCTGTTCATCACAAGAAACTTTCCCCCTCACCCAAATCCCCCACCTCACCCCTACTTCCAATCACCTGTGGAGATACAGATAGATCATGGGGAGGTAAACGCTAATACTCCTTGGAGTGAGTTCAGATCTTGGAATCAGAGATCAGCACCAGCACTAGCTCCTGCTCCCCTTTCCTACTAATTCACAGGAGGACAGGTGGTTTTGAAGCAATAGATGGTGGAGGGGGTGGTCTTTCCCCCAGCCTCTCAGGTGGAACAGCAGCCTAACATGTGTCTCGCGAGATCACAAAGAGTAGCACGTTTCACATGGGCTTCATCATTATTTCCTGGCTGTTTGACATAAGAGAATTCTACTTTGCTTTTTTGATCTTGATTTCACTTTTGTGTCCTTTTCTTGGAGAATGTAATTTGAGTCAAGAGGGTTGTGGATGTAGAAACTGTAAAGCACATTCACTGTGTATCAATCCCAGTCCAGTCTTTCCAGAGAAGACTCTAAACACCTGCTGTACTGCACCTGGGCCTATGCCAATTTCTATCACTCACCGTCACTCCAGGGAGACAGAACACACAGAGAATACGTTACATAGGCAGGTTCATTACTAACAGATAAGCAGCGAGTGACAACAGAAGCCTACATTTCAACGTGAGCCAGTCCCTCAAGGCTCAGAAAAGCTGCTCGGGACATATGGAGTCACCTCATTTGCAGTGTATCTGGGGGAAGCCAGAAAATAGCCCAGCCTGGGTTTTGTACCCTGAAGCCACAGGAAGCACTCAGCTAAAGCACTGCATGACGTCCTCCTCCAGGAAGAACAGGAAGACAGCACAGGCTGTTCTGAGACGTTCCTCCTGATCTCAGGACGTTGCTGTCTTAGTCCATTTTTGTTGCTATAAAAGAACACTTGAGCCTGGGTTACTTCTTTTTTTTTTTTTTTTTTTTTTGTATAGTGCTTCTGATGAGCTTTTTTTTAAAATTTTTATTATTATTATACTTTAAGTTTTAGGGTACATGTGCACAATGTGCAGGTTAGTTACATATGTATACATGTGCCATGCTGGTGTGCTGCACCCATCAACTCGTCATTTAGCATTAGGTATATCTCCTAATGCTATCCCTCCCCCCTCCCCCCACCCCACAACAGTCCCCAGAGTGTGATGTTCCCCTTCCTGTGTCCATGTGTTCTCATTGTTCAATTCCCACCTATAAGTGAGAACATGCGGTGTTTGGATTTTTGTCCTTGTGATAGTCTACTGAGAATGATGATTTCCAATTTCATCCATGTCCCTGCAAAGGACATGAACTCATCATTTTTTATGGCTGCATAGTATTCCATGGTGTATATGTGCCACATTTTCTTCATCCAGTCTATCATTGTTGGACATTTGGGTTGGTTCCAAGTCTTTGCTATTGTGAATAGTGCCACAATAAACATACGTGTCCATGTGTCTTTATAGCAGCATGATTTATAGTCCTTTGGGTTTATACCCAGTAATGGGATGGCTGGGTCAAATGGTATTTCAAGCTCTAGATCCCTGAGGAATCGCCACACTGACTTCCACAATGGTTGAACTAGTTTACAGTCCCACCAACAGTGTAAAAGTGTTCCTATTTCTCCACATCCTCTCCAGCACCTGTTGTTTCCCGACTTTTTAATGATCGCCATTCTAACTGGTGTGAGATGGTATCTCATTGTGGTTTTGATTTGCATTTCTCTGATGGCCAGTCATGGTGAGCATTTTTTCATGTGTTTTTTGGCTGCATAAATGTCTTCTTTTGAGAAGTGTCTGTTCATGTCCTTTGCCCACTTTTTGATAGGATTGTTTGTTTTTTTCTTGTAAATTTGTTTGAGTTCATTGTAGATTCTGGATATTAGCCCTTTGTCAGATGAGTAGGTTGCGAAAATTTTCTCCCATTTTGTAGGTTGTCTGTTCACTCTGATGGTAGTTTCTTTTGCTGTGCAGAAGCTCTTTAGTTTAATTAGATCCCGTTTGTCAATTTTGGCTTTTGTTGCCGTTGCTTTTGGTGTTTTAGACATGAAGTCCTTGTCCATGCCTATGTCCTGAATGGTAATGCCTAGGTTTTCTTCTAGGGTTTTTATGGTTTTAGGTCTAACGTTTAAGTCTTTAATCCATCTCAAATTAATTTTTGTATAAGGTGTAAGGAAGGGATCCAGTTTCAGCTTTCTACCTATGGCTAGCCAGTTTTCCCAGCACCATTTATTAAATAGGGAATCCTTTCCCCATTGCTTGTTTTTCTCAGGTTTGTCAAAGATCACATAGTTGTAGATATGTGGCATTATTTCTGAGGGCTCTATTCTGTTCCATTGATCTATATCTCTGTTTTGGTACCAGTACCATGCTGTTTTGGTTACTGTAGCCTTGTAGTATAGTTTGAAGTCAGGCAGCATGATGCCTCCAGCTTTGTTCTTTTGGCTTAGGATTGACTTGGCAATGCAGGCTCTTTTTTGATTCCATATGAACTTTAAGGTAGTTTTTTCCAATTCTGTGAAGAAAGTCATTGGTAGCTTGATGGGGATGGCATTGAATCTATAAATTACCTTGGGCAGTATGGCCATTTTCACGATCTTGATTCTTCCTACCCATGAGCATGGAATGTTCTTCCATTTGTTTGTATCCTCTTTTATTTCATTGAGCAGTGGTTTGTAGTTCTCCTTGAAGAGGTCCTTCATATCCCTTGTAAGTTGGATTCCTAGGTATTTTATTCTCTTTGAAGCAATTGTGAATGGGAGTTCACTCATGATTTGGCTCTCTGTTTGTCTGTTATTGGTGTATAAGAATGCTTGTGATTTTTGTACATTGATTCTGTATCCTGAGACTTTGTAGAAGCTGCTTATCAGCTTAAGGAGATTTTGGGCTGAGACAATGGGGTTTTCTATATATACAATCATGTCATCTGCAAACAGGGACAATTTGACTTCCTCTTTTCCTAATTGAATACCCTTTATTTCCTTCTCCTGCCTAATTGCCCTGGCCAGAACTTCCAACACTATGTTGAATAGGAGTGGTGAAAGAGGGCATCCCTGTCTTGTGCCAGTTTTCAAAGGGAATGCTTCCAGTTTTTGCCCATTCAGTATGATACTGGCTGTGGGTTTGTTATAGATGGCTCTTATTATTTTGAGATACGTCCCATCAATGCCTAATTTATTGAGAGTTTTTAGCATGAAGCGTTGTTGAATTTTGTCAAAGGCCTTTTCTGCATCTATTGAGATAATCGTCCGGTTTTTGTCTTTGGTTCTGTTTATATGATGGATTACATTTATTGATTTGCATATATTGAACCAGCCTTGCATCCCAGAGCCTGGGCAACTTCTAGAGAAAACAGATTTGTTTGCCTCACAGTTCTGCAGGCTGTACTGGAAGCATGGCACCAGCATCTGTTTCCTGTGACGGCCTCAGGCTGCTCCCACTCTGGCAGAAGGGAAGGAGGGTCTGTCTGTGCAGAGACCACAGAGATCACATGGCAAGAGAGGGAGCAAGGGGGAGGGCGAGCGATGGAGCTTCCAAGCTCTTTTTAACAACCAGCCCTCCGGGAACTAATAGAGGGGGAACTTGCTAACCCCATCATGTGGGGCAGCATTAATCTATTCATGATGGATCCACCTCCATGACTCAAACACCTTCCCATAGGCCCAAACTTCCACACTGGGGGTTAAATTTCAATATTTCAGTGTGAGGTTTCAAAGGGTCAAACATCTAAACTAAAGCAGCTGTATCCTCAGCATGTTCTATGGTTTCTATGAGAGCTGTAACTGAGAAAGCAGGAGAAAGCTGGGTCTCCCGCCATCAGGCTGCTTGTCCTAAGGAGATGTTCCATGTGGTTACCTGTCAATCAAGAAATGAGACAATCCATAAAGAGGAACTGCTATGATTAGCTTCTTATTGGATTCCCATCTTCCTCCAGGTATCTGCAGACACCTGCATGTTCTGATTGGGACCTCAGTGGTCATCTTCCTCTTCATCCTCCTCCTCTTCTTTCTCCTTTATCGCTGGTGCTCCAACAAAAAGAGTAAGTCTCACGAAGCAGAGGCCAGAGAGCTCAGGGCCATGTGGGGAAGCAGGATGGGAGCACGCGGGTGTGTGTTCCTCACTGGCAGGATGGTCCCTGGCCCAAGGGAGGAGCCACAGAGGCAGGGCTTTCTAGAGAGAGCACCAGACAACCTGCCCCTGCCTTCAGCTCACAGACCATTGCCTGGTTCTGAACTGTATCCTCACATCCCCTGCAGCCACTGACATCCAGAAGCTTCCATGACAGGCAGAAAGTGGGAGACAGAATCAATGGGATGCCAATTGAGAGCACTTCATGGGATGGGGTCTTGAACTCAGAGAGATAGAATGTCTGAGTCTGGATGTTGGCAGCTGAAGAGCCTCAGGCACCTACAGCCTCCCCCTGTGGGTTGGTGTCTGCCCATGAAATGAGGACCCAGAAGGGCCCTCCAAGCGGTTTTGATGACTTCCGTCTCCTACAGATGCTGCTGTAATGGACCAAGAGCCTGCGGGGGACAGAACAGTGAATAGGCAGGTAGGTCCTCCTCGGCCCAGCCTCACGGATACAGTCTTATCCCTAATAGTCCTGAAAAATGTGAGCACCCTCCCTCACTCAGCATTTCCCTCTCTCCAGGACTCTGATGAACAAGACCCTCAGGAGGTGACGTACGCACAGTTGGATCACTGCGTTTTCATACAGAGAAAAATCAGTCGCCCTTCTCAGAGGCCCAAGACACCCCTAACAGATACCAGCGTGTACACGGAACTTCCAAATGCTGAGCCCAGATCCAAAGTTGTCTCCTGCCCACGAGCACCACAGTCAGGTCTTGAGGGGGTTTTCTAGGGAGACAACAGCCCTGTCTCAAAACCAGGTTGCCAGATCCAATGAACCAGCAGCTGGAATCTGAAGGCATCAGTCTGCATCTTAGGGGATCGCTCTTCCTCACACCACGAATCTGAACATGCCTCTCTCTTGCTTACAAATGCCTAAGGTCGCCACTGCCTGCTGCAGAGAAAACACACTCCTTTGCTTAGCCCACAAGTATCTATTTCACTTGACCCCTGCCCACCTCTCCAACCTAACTGGCTTACTTCCTAGTCCTACTTGAGGCTGCAATCACACTGAGGAACTCACAATTCCAAACATACAAGAGGCTCCCTCTTAACACGGCACTTACACACTTGCTGTTCCACCTTCCCTCATGCTGTTCCACCTCCCCTCAGACTATCTTTCAGCCTTCTGTCATCAGTAAAATTTATAAATTTTTTTTATAACTTCAGTGTAGCTCTCTCCTCTTCAAATAAACATGTCTGCCCTCATGGTTTCGATAATGTGACTCTTTATTCGCCAAAAGTTTCCAGTGTTATCATTACTATGTCCATATAACCTGATATGTTCTCTACTGGGTTCTCAGCCCTGGACTCTGAGCTTCTGGAAGCAGGGTGGAGCCTCATTTGTCTCTGGGACTCCAATTTCCATCCAAAGATGCAGCACATAGGAGGTTCCAAGGATCGTGAATCACATGAACAAGTGATATTCTTACTCTCTGCAGACCTGGAAAGCTGGCAGAGTCATTCCAAGATGAAACATTTGTAGAGTCATAGGCCTTGTTAGTCTCATCTCCACAGGGACACATGTCAACACATCATCTTTCATACTATAAATATACAGTCGCTCCTCCATATCTGTGGGGTTTACAGGTGTTTATTGAACCAAATATAAATCAAAAATATTCAGAGAAAAAATCCACAAAGTTCCAAAAAGCAAAAATACTATATTGTGTGGACACAAGTGAGGTGGTGTGTAGGCTGTATCAGGAATTATAAGTAATCTAGAGATGATTTCATGTATACAGGAGGATGTGCATGGGTTATATGCAAACGCTGTGCCATTTCATGCAACAGGCTTGAGCATCTGCAGATTTTGGTGTCTGGTAGGGAGGGGGGTTTCCTGGAACCAATCACCCATGAATAGTGAAGGACAACTGTATATAATTTTCATTCATCAATTTTATAAATAAATCATCAAAATGTATGATAATAAGATAAAAAATTAGCAGTGTTTTTATGGTGTGAAAATAAGCTTAGATTTATTTTTTCCTGCTTGTAACCCTCTGGTCCAATGTTATTTACTGAGAAGACATTCTATTCCACCTTAATCCGCATGGCAGCCTCTGTCAACTATAAAAGGACTGTGTGTACACAGATGTATTTTACACACTCTTTTCTGCTCAGTGGCTCTCTGTGTCCACTCTCATGAGGATGCTGCACTTTATGTGGCCTTATAGAACCCCTTAAAATTTGGCAGCCTGAATCCTCTAATTTCTCCTTCCTCTTTAAGATTGCCATTATTATTATTATTGGCTATTTGCTTTTCCATGTAAATTTGTAATCATTTTTCTCATTTCCACCAAAAACAATGCTTGTAATTTTGTTGTGACTCCCTTACATCTACAGGTAAGTTCTGTCCTATAGAAACATAATGCAAACCACATGCATTCTTTCAAACTTGCTAGTATCCAAATTAAAAAGCTAACAAGAAACAGATAAAATTAATTTAAGTTAACCCAATGGACCCAAAATATTATTAACCCAACAGACCCAAAATATTAACCTAATAGATCCAAAATATTATTTTATTATACAAGTAGACTCAAAATATTATCATTTCAACATGTAATCATGTGTCATCTTGGAAAACATCAGATCCCTGTCTAGGTGGGCAAAGATTTTTCTTCGTAATATCTCATTTCCACATTTCCACTTGGCACAGAAACTGCCCCCAAGGCTCAGGATACTAAGATGCAGTAGGAATGGGTAGATGTATCTGGAGGAAAGTGACTGAATGAAATTGAGACATCAGAGTCTGGGAAACTCACTAGAACTACAGGGACAGTGTGGGGGAGGGAATTGGGAGATGTTGATCAAAGGATACAAACTATCAGGTATTCAGGAGGAATGGGTCTGAAGATCTCTTGTACAGCTTTGCCACTATGGTTGACAATACTGTACTCTATACTTGAAATTTACCAGGAAAGTAGATTTTTTTTTTTAAATATGGAACACTTCACGAATTTGCGTGTCATTCTTGCGCAGGGGCCATGCTAGTTTTCTCTGTATCGTTCCAATTTTAGTATATGTGCTGCCGAGGCAAGCATGGGAGAGTAGATTTTTTTTTTTTTTTTTTTTTTTTTGAGCTGGAGTCTTGCTCTGTCACCCAGGCTGGAGTGCAGTGGCGCGATCTCGGCTCACCGCAAGCTCCGCCTCCTGGGTTCACGCCATTCTCCTGCCTCAGCCTCCCGAGTAGCTGGGACTACAGGCGCCCGCCACCACGCCCTGCTAATTTTTTGTATTTTTAGTAGAGACGGGGTTTCACTGTGTTAGCCAGGATGGTCTCGATCTCCTGACCTCGTGATCCGCCTGCCTCGGCCTCCCAAAGTACTGGGATTACAGGCATGAGCCACCACGCCCGGCTGGGAGAGTAGATCTTAAGGGTCCTCACCACAAAAAAAAAAAAAAAGAAAGAAAGAAAAAGAAACCATAGGCCGGGCGCGGTGGCTCACGCCTGTAATCCCAGCACTTTGGGAGGCCAAGACGGGCAGATCACTTGAGGTCAGGAGTTCAAGACCAGCATGGCCAACATGGTGAAACCCTGTCTCTACTAAAAATGCAAACATTAGCCAGGCGTGGTGACACAAGCCTGTAATCCCAGCTACTCAGGAGGCTGAGGCACGAGAATTGCTGGAACCTGGGAGCGGAGGTTGCAGTGAGCCAAGATGGCACCACTGCACTCTAGCCTGGGGGACAGAGTAAGACTTCCTCTCAAAAAAAAAAAAAAAAAAAAACAATAACCCTGCGAGATGATGGATATAACTAGCTTGACTATGATGATCATGTCACCATGTATACATACATCAAAACATCAAGTGTAATACACCTTAAATATATACAATTTCCATTTGTCAATCATATCTCAATAAAGCTAAAAGAAACCTCTAAGTTTCAACTTTATTTTCAGAAAGCTGTGCCATGCTTACCTCAGTGCCTAAGTATACTCTAATTCATGGAAATGGCCTTTAAAACTGCAGAGAGTGGCTGGGTGCAGTGGCTCACGCCTATAATCCCAGCACTTTGGGAGGCGGAGGTGGGCAGATCACGAGGTCAGGAGTTCGAGATCAGCCTGGCCAACATGGTGAAACTCTGTCTCTACTAAAAATACAAAAAATAGCTGGGCATGGTGGCAGGTGCCTGTAAATCTGAGATACTCAGGAGGCTGAGACAGGAGAATCGTTTGAACTGGGGAGGCAGAGGTTGCAGTGAGCCGAGATCCTGCCATTGCACTCCAGCCTGGGCGACAGGGTGAGACTCCATCTCAAAAAAAAAAAAAATACTGCAGAGAGTTAAGGCCCTCACTGGACACTCTCCGGTACCTCTGAGGTCAGTGGATAGAGAAGCAGCTCCCCTTCTTCTTCCTCGAAACAAAGGCCTCCTTCCTTCTTAGGTGTTTGAGACAAATTCTCCACACAGGTGCAGCTGAGTGCTGTAAAGTCCCACTGAGAGTTGAAGGTCCCCACTGCCAGTCACAGTTCGGTCCCACTGAGGGTTGAAGGTCCCCACTGCCAGTCACAGTTTGGTCCCATTGAGGGTTGAGAGTCTCCACTGCCAGTCACAGTTTGGTCCCATTGAGGGTTGAGAGTCTCCACTGCCAGTCAGTTTGGGCTTATTAGGGTTTATGCTGTGCACGGAGAATGGAACCTACCAATCAACTCTTAGTGACCAGTTAGACAGATTCAAGGCAAATTTCCCTGCTGGGAAATCCCAAATCCCAAAATATGCAGAGACCAATAGATGCCTCAATTCTTCCGTGTCTCCGTCTAAATCCTTGGGTCACTGTGACTCCTGTAGTTATGTGGCTTGTAATTCCTTGGGCCGTAGAATGGCTATGATAGGCCCTGTGCTAAGGGGACTGGTGACAGTTGAGACAGGAACATGGAAGCTATAGTAGTCAGGGTTCTCCAGAAAAAAAAATAATCAACACTAATAATGATAGATATATAGATAATGATTGATAGACAAATAATGATAGATATATAATGATATCACAAATAATGATAGACATATAGTTGGATAATGACAGATATATAACGATTGATACACAGATAGGGTATTTATATATTGGCTTATGCAACTATGTAGACTGACAGGTCCCATGATCTGCCATCTGCAAGCTGGAGACCCAGGGGAGTCCACGTGTAGTTCCAGTCTACGTGCAAAAGTCTGAGAACCAGTAGAGTTAGTGGTATACGTAACAGTCCAAAAGCTAGCAGGCTCATGCCGGGCATGATGGCTCACGCCTGTAATCCCAACACTTTGGGAGACCAAGGCAGGCAGATCACCTGAGGTCAGAGTTCAAGACCAGCCCGGCCAACATGGTGAAACCCCATCTTTACTAAAAATACAAAAATTAGCCGGGCATAGTGGCATTCGCTTGTAATCCCAGCTACTCAGAGGCTGAGGTACGAGAATTGCTTGAACCCAAGAGGTGAAGGTTGCAGTGAGCCGAGATCATGCCACAGCACTCCAGCCTGGGTGACAGAGTGAGACTCTATCTCAAAAAAACAAACAAACAAAAAAAGCTGGCAGGCTTAACATCTAAAGAGTCAATGTTTTAGTGAGAGTTCAAGAGCCAGAAAAGACTGATGTCCAGGCAAAAGGAACTTCATCTTACATTACCAGTTCAATGTTTTGTTCTATTCAGGTCCCACCTGATTGAATGAGGCCGACTCACATTAGGGAGAGCAATCTGCTTTATAAATTACACTAATTCCATTGATAATCTCATTCAGCAACACCCCCACAGACACACACAGAATAATGTTTAACCAAATATCTCAGCACCCCATGGCTACGTTACCATTCCTGTTCCACAAAAGGAGGAAACAAAAGAACAAAACCACACCAAATGTTGTGGTAAGTTGACAAAATCTGTTCCAGCCCATTAGTAAATATTGGCCACTGAAGTTCCTGAAATTCAACAATTAGTAAGTATCTCTCTCCCAATAGAAAGCCACGTCATTTGTAAACCATAACAATAGCTTTTGTTTTTTTGAGACACAGTCTCGCTCTGTGTTGCCCAGGCTGGAGTGCAGTGATCTTGGCTCACTGCAACCTCTGCCTCCTGGGTTCAAGTGGCTCTCCTGCCTCAGCCTTCCGAGTAGCTGGAATTACAGGCACCCGCCACCACACCCAAGTAATTTTTTATATTTTTAGTAGAGACTGGGTTTCACCACATTGACCAGGCTGGTCTTAAATTCCTGAACTCAAGTGATTCACCTGCCTTGGCCTCCCAAAGTGCTGGGATTACAGGCATGAGCTACTGCACCCAGCCAACAATAGTATTTTTAATTAGGTCATCCTGCCTTTACAATCTCTGCATTTTAAATACTCAACTAAGAGTACAGCCATTATTTGTCTTTCACCCAAAGTCCCATTCAAGTGAGAACAAAGGAATGAATAAATAAGGCATAAGTAACAAAACAACAAAAAAAGAAAATTAGAATGCGGTCAATTTCATGCAATCATCAACACCAAATTTCTAGAACGTAGTATTTCCAAATTTCCCGAACGTAAATATGTATGTGGAAATTAACAAAATGTGGCAAAACAAAAGGTCACTTAAATTTGCACAAATGAAACAGTCAACATGGAAGCTGATCGGCTTTCTGAAATATGGGACAAGCTCAGGACTTCAAAATACTTCGGCGTTGGAAGGGCTAAGTTATGATGTATTAAAATGAAAATAAAGTGGGGCGCGGTGGCTCACGCCTGTAATCCCAGCACTTTGGGGGACCGAAGTGGGTGGATCACGAGGTCAGGAGATCGAGACCATCCTGGCTAACACGGTGAAACCCCGTTTCTACTGAAAATACAAAAAAAAATTAGCCGGGCGTGGTGGCGGGTGCCTGTAGTCCCAGCTACTCGGGAGGCTGAGGCAGGAGAATAGCATGAACCCGGGAAGTGGAGCTTGCAGTGAGCTGAGATCACGCCACTGCACTCCAGCCTGGGCGACAGAGCAAGACTCCGTCTCAAAAAAAAAAAAAGAATAAATAAAATAAAATAAAATAGTAGAAGGTTTAATTAGGAATATTTCACTCTCCATACCTGAAGAATTCGTGATAGCCAGGAGTCTACAATCAAAATAACATAAATAATAAGATAAAAATAAAATTAATTTGAAGCCATAAAAAAAGAATGAGTTCATATGTTTTGTGGAAACATGGATGGAGCTGGAGGCCATTATCCTTAGCAAACTATACAAGAACAGAACACCAAATACAGCAGGTTCTCACTTATAAGTGGAAGCTAAATAATAGAACTCATGAACACAAAAAAGGGAAAAACAGACAATGGGGTCTCCTTTAGGGTGGAGGGTGGGAGGCGGGAAAGGAGCAGGCAAAGTAACTATTAGGTACCAAGCTTATTACCTAGGTGATGAAATAATCTGTACAACAAACCCCCATGACACAAGTTTACCTGTATAACAAACCTTCCCATGTACCCTTGAACCTAAAATAAAAGTTAAAAAAATACTCAATGAGCAACAATGTACATTATTTGAGGATAATTATATTAAAAGCCCAGACTTCACCACTACACAAAATATCCACGTAATAAAATTTCACTTGCGCTCCTTAAATTTATACAAATAAACAAAAAAGTATAATAAAATAGTAGATTCTTTCTTTAGAGATGACAAATAGTGCCAGAGAAAATGCCTCCACACTCTGGCATTGAGATCATCTCCAGGATAAGGGTATACTGCATGCCTGGTCAAGTCCAAGTAAATATACTCAGACCATGAATCTCAGAGATGAAACATAGGTTCAGAACAGACAAAGCCACAGAGCTTTTGACTAATGGCCCAGTGAAGGCAATGTCTGCCTGTATGGTATCCACCACCTTATATTCTGTCCCAAGCCCGTCTATTTGGATGTAGCATCTGGTTCAAAGATGAATTTGAACACCATTAGACACTGGCTTAATGAAAATTCACTTCTCATTCGTTTCTCATCTGAAACATAAATAGAAATATAGGTCTTAGGCAGGAGGATTTCTTGATGCCAGAAGTTAGAGACTACCCTGGCCAACATAGAAAGACCCCATCTCTATTTAAAAAAATATACATATATATGTCTTCTCTTGGGCTCCACCCAAGAGCAACCTGGAACTAAGTTATTCGGCAACGAACTGTTCCACTTTGTTGTGAGGCAATAGATGTGGAAATTCCCTGACGAGGGGCTCTGTCCTCATACTTCCTGCGGAGCTTATTGTCGTAAGAATATCTGTCATCCTGCTAATGTGCATTGAAAGGAGAGCAACGGGGCTGAGGCCGTGTCAGCACGATGGACCCCAAACAGACCACCCTCCTGTGTCTTGGTGAGTTTCAGAGTAAAAGTGGGTTAGAGGGGAAGATAGAGAAATCCCAAAATAATCAGGGTGTCTCTTAACAGTGTGACTAGGAGATTTTAGTGGCTGCCAAGGAGATTCTGATCTCCTTAGTGGAAAGGCCGTCTTTGTCAATGTATCTATAACTTTGTCTCTACCCAAGCCCAAGCTAGCTTGTGGGGCTCAAGGTTTAATATTTGTATTAAACCTATAGTGTGTTATCTGGGATTCATGATGGTCCCAAGGTTCTTATCAAGGAGAGACTTAGAGGCTGGAATCTGAAAGGTAAAAATAAAGAATGAACCTCAAAACTGTGATTGTTGTGGAAGGAAAACATATGATAGAACCCCATATAGAAATATGGTTACTAGTATTTTGTTGAAGATTTTTGCATTTATGTTCAACAAAGATATTATCCAGAAGTTTTCTGTTTTTGTTGTATCTCTGCCACATTTTGTTATCAGGATAATGTTGGCCTCATAGAATGAGTTGGGGAGGAGTCCCTCCTCCAGGATTTTTTTCAATAGTTTCAGTAGGAATAATACTAGCTCTTCTTGGCCGGGCGCAGTGGCTCACACCTGCAATCCCAGCACTTTGGGAGGCCAAGGCAGGCGGATCACAAGGTCAGGAGATCAAAACCATCCTGGCCAACATGGTGAAACCCTGTCTCTACTAAAAATACAAAAAAATTAGCCAGGCATGGTGGCGGGCGCCTGTAGTCCCAGCTACTCGTGCGGCTGAGGCAGGAGAATGGCATGAACCTGGGAGGCAGAGCTTGCAGTGAGCCAAGATCATGCCACTGCACTCCAGCTTGGGCGACACAGCGAGACTCTGTCTCAAAAAAAAAAAAAAATGCCAGCTCTTCTTTATATATCTGGTGGGATTGAGCTGTGAATCCATCTGGTACTGGTCTTTTTCTGGTCTGTCATTACAGAGGGTGATTTGTCGTAAAGGTTGGAAATGGAAGCTTGATTTTTCATAAATCTCTCTCTTCCAGTGCTCTGTCTGGGCCAGAGGATTCAGGCACAGGAAGGTAAGTGTCCTGTAAATCTCTCCCAGCCCCTTTAGACCCTCTTGGGAGCTCTAGGATAAAGAAATTGAGGAATAGCCTGAAGCACCATTCTTATTTTAATCCCCATTCTAGTTGTTTCTGCTGTGCTTCTCTTGCATAATTTCTATCTCACTTTGTTATCTCCAAACCCTTCAGACTCATTAATGCTCAGGCCTGGATTTATAGTTAGTCCTTGCCTGTGTTAGACTGTCCATGAAGGATCTGTAATTTACTGAATGCTCAAACTGCAAGAATGAGGAAGTCAGGAGTCATCTGCCCAATATCCTTCCTTATGCTGATTCTATTTTGTTTTAGCAACCCACTTCCTCCCGTCACTTCATTTAAAAGGATGCTGCCATAGTCTAACCCTACTGAACACTCTAGCATTCTGTAGTACTACTGCAGTACTAAGCATGAGGCAGTCTTAGTGTACTACTGAATATTCTGCCACCCCAACTACTACTGCCTTAGCCTCCTAATGGGTGTGAGCCCCACGTCCATCCATGTCTTCTCTCTTCCAGCTCCTTCTAAAGCCTGAATTATTTGTGTGTTGAACAATACTCATTCTTCCTATCCATGAGCATGGAATGTTTTTCCATTTGTTTGTGTCATCTATGATTTCTTTGACCAGTGTTTTGTAGTTCTCCTTGCAGAGATCTTTCACCTCCCTGGTTAGCTGTATTCCCAGGTATTTTATTCTTTTTGCAGTAATTGTGAATGGATTCTATTCTTGATTTGGCTCTCAGCTTAGATGTTTTTGGTGTATAGGAATGCTACTGATTTTTATATATTGATTTTGTATCCTGGAACTTTGCTAAAGTTGTTTATCAGATTAAGAAGTGTTTGGGCAGAGACTGTGGTTTTCTAGGTATAGAATCATATCACCTGCAAACAGGGATAGTTTGACTTCCTTTCTTCCTATTTGGATGCCTTTTATTTCTCTCTTGCCTGATTGCTCTAGCTAGGACCTCCAGTACTATGTTGAACAGAAGTAGTGAGAGACGGCATCCATGTCTTTTGCCAGTTTTCAAGGGGAATACTTCCAGCTTTTGCCCATTCAATATGATGTTGACTGTGAGTTTGTCATACATCATTCTTATTATTTTGAAATATGTTTCTTCAATGCCTAGTTTGTCGAGGTTTTTTAGCATAAAGGGATGTTGAATTTTATCAAAAGCTCTATTGAGAGGATTATGTGTGTGGGGAGGGTTGTTCTATTTATGTGATGAATCATATTTAAGATTTGTGTATATTGGCCGGGCACTGTGGCTCATGCCTGTAATCCCAGCACTTTGGGAAGCCAAGGCTTGTGGATCATGAGGTCAGGAGATCGACACCATCCTGGCTAACACGGTGAAACCTCGTCTATACTAAAAAACACAAAAAAATTAGCCAGGCGTGGTGGTGGGCACCTGTAGTCCCAGCTGCTCGGGAGGCTCAGGCAGGAGAATGGCGTGAATCCAGGAGGCGGAGCTTGCAGTGAGCCAAGTTCACGCCACTACACTCCAGCCTGGGCAACAGAGCGAGACTCCTATATCGAATCAACCTTGCATCCCAGAAATAAAGCCTACCTGATGGTGGTGGATTAGCTTTCTGATGTGCTGCTGGATAGTTTGCTAGTATTTTGTTGAGGATTTTTGCATTTATGTTCAACAAGGATATTGTCCTGAAGTTTTCTGGTTTTGTTGTGTCTCTGCCATGTTTTTGCATCAAGATGATGCTGGTCTCATAGAATGAGCTGGGGAGGCATTCCTCCTCCTGAATATTTTTGGAACGTTTCAGTAGGTATAGTACCAGCTCTTCTTTATATATCAGATGGGATTCAGCTGTGAGTCTGTCTGGTACTGGGCTTTTTCTGGTCTGTAGGATTTTTATTACTGATTCAATTTTGGAGCTCATTATTGGTCTGTTCATGTATTCAATTTATTCTTGGTTTGATCTCAGGAGGGTGTATGTGTCCAGGAATTTCTCCATTTATTCTGGATTTTCTAGTTTGTGTGCATAGAGGTGTTCATAATATTCTCTGATGATTGTATTTCTGTGGGGTGAGTGGTAATATACCCTTTGTTGTTTCTAATTGTGTTTATCCGGATCATCTCTCTTTTCTTCTTTATTAGTCTAACTAGTCATCTGTCTTACTAATTTTTTCAAAAATTCTACTCCTCGATTTGCTGATCTTCTGAATGCTTTTTCGTGTCTCAATCTCCTTCAGCTCAGCTCTGATTTTGGTTATTTCTTGTTTCCTATGAGCTTTGGGGTTGATTTCCTCTTGGTTCTCTTAGTTCCTCTTGTTATGATGTTAGGTTGTTAATTTGAACTTTTTCTAGCTTTTTGAAGTGGGAGTTTAGTGCTATAAACTTCCCCCTTAACACTGCCTTAGCTGTGTCCCAGAGATTCTGCTATATTTACCCAAAAATTCCAGAACAGACTGCTTAATTTCCATGCATTGTACAGTTTTGAGTGGTTTTCTTAGTATTTATTCCTATTTTTATTCCACTGTGCTCTGATTTCGCTTTTCTGGATTTGCTAAGGATTGTTTTTTTTTTTTTTGAAATGGAGTCTTGCTCTGTCGCCCAGGCTGGAGTGCAGTGGCGCAATCTAGGCTCACTGCAAGCTCCGCCTCCCGGGTTCACACCATTCTCCTGCCTCAGCCTCCTGAGTAGCTGAGACTACAGGTGCCCGCCACCCCGCCCGGCTAATTTTTTTTGTATTTTTAGTAAAGACGGGGTTTCACTGCGTTAGCCAGGATGGTCTCGATCTCCTGACCTCATGATCCGCCAGCCTTGGCTTCCCAAAGTGCTGGGATTACAGGTGTGAGCCACCGCGCCCAGCCTGCTAAGGATTGCTGTATGTCTGATTGTATGATTGACTTTAGAGTATGTGCCATGAGGCAATGAAAACAATGTAGATTCTGTTGTTTTGGGGGTGGAGAGTTCTGTAGATGTCTGTCAGGTCCATTTGATCCACTGCTGAGTTCAGGTCCTGAATATCTCTGTTTGCCTCAATGATCTAATACTGTCGGCGGGATGTTAAAGTCTCCCCCTATTATTGTGTGGTTGTCTAAGTCTCTTCGTTGGTCTCTCAGAACACGCTTTATGAATCCGGGTGCTTCCATGTTAGGTGCATATATATTTAGGATAGTTAGGTCTTCATGCTCTTTTTTTAATTTTTTTTTTCTTTTTCTTTTTGATTCAGCAGTTGGGCTATTACACACTCCTTAGCAGATTCCGACTTCCGTGGCCACTGTCCTGCTATGGTCTTCATGTTGAATTGAACCCTTTACCATGATTTAATGCCCTTCTTTGCCTTTTTTGATCTTTGTTGGTATAAAGTCTGTTTTGTCTGAAATTTTAATAGCAGCTCCTGCATTTTTTTTTTTTTTTGGCTTTCCATTTGCTTGGTAGATTTTTCTCCATTTCTTTACTTTGAGCCTATGGATGTCATTGCATATGAGATGGGTTTCTTATAGGCAGCATAATGTTGAGTCTTGCTTTTTTTTTTTTTTTTTTTTTGAGATGGAGTCTCACTCTGTCACCCAGGCTGGAGTGCAGTGGTATGATCTTGACTCACTGCAACTTCTGCCTCCCAGGTTCAAATGATTCTCCTGCCTCAGCCTCCCAAATAGCTGGGATTACAGGTGTGTACCACCACGCCCAGCTATTTTTTTTTTTTATTAGAGATGGGATTTCATCACATTGGCCAGGCTAATGTCGAACTCCTGACCTCAAATGATCCACCCACCTCAGCCTCCCAAAGTGCCGGGGTTACAGGCGTGAGCCACTGCACCTGGCCTCTTGCTTCTTTATCCAACTTGCCACTCTCTGCATTTTAATTAGGACAATTAGTCCATTTACATTCAAAGTTAGCATTTACATGTGCAGATTTTTTCCTGTCATCATGTTGTTAGCTGGTTTGGTTATTATGCAGACTTGTTTGTGTGGTTGTTTTATAGTGTCACTGGTTTATGTACGTAAGTGTGTTTTCTATTGGCTGGTGATGGTCTTTTCTTTCCATATTTAGCGTTCCTCTTAGGACCTCTTGTAAGGCAGGCCTGATGGTAATAAATTCCCTCAGCATTTGCTTGTCTGTAAAGGATCTTATTTCTCCTTCACTTATGAAACTTAGTTTGGCTGGGAATGAGATTCTTGGTTGGAAATTCTTTTCATAAGAACATTAAATATAGGCCCCCAATCTCTTCTGGATTGTAGAGTTTCTGCTGAAAGGTCTGCTGTTAGCTCGATGGCATTCCCTTTGTAGGTGACCTGCCCCTTCTTTTTTGCTGCCTTTTCACATTTTTTTTTTTTTTTTGAGACTGAGTCTTGCTCTGTTGCCCAGGCTGCCAGGCTGGAGTGCAATGGCGTGATCTCGGCTCACTGCAAGCTCCGCCTCCCGGATTCACGCCATTCTCCTGCCTCAGCCTCCCCAGTAGCTGGGACTACAGGTGCCCACCACCACGCCCAGCTAATTTTTTATATTTTTTTAGTAGAGATGGGGTTTCACCATGTTAGCCAGGATGGTCTCAATCTCCTGACCTCGTGATCCGCCCGCCTTGGTCTCCCAAAGTGCTGGGATTACAGGCGTGAGCCACCGCGCCCGGCCGACATTTCTTTCTTTCATTTCTACCTTGAAGAATCTGATGATTTTGTGTCTTGGGGATGCTCTTCTTGTGTAGTATTTTGCAGGGGTTCTCTGTTTCCTGCATTTGATTCTTGGCCTCTCTAGTGACGTTGGGGAAGTTTTCATGAACAATACACTGAAATATGTTTTCCATGTTCCTTGCTTTCTCCCCATCTCTTTCGGGGATGCCAATGGGCTATTTGGTCTCTTTTCATGATCCCATATTTCTTAGAGGTTTTGTTCATTATTTTTTATTCTTTTTCTTCATTTTTGTCTGACTGAATTAGTTCAGAGAGCCAGTATTCATGCTCTGAGATTCTTTCCTTATTTTGCTTTATTTTGCCATTAATACTTGTGATCGCATTATGAAATCTCGTAGTGTGTTTTTCAGCTCCATCAGATCCGTTTGGTTCTTTCAAAATGACCATCTCATAGATTAGCCCCTCTGTCATTTTATTGTAATCTTTAGGTTCCTTGCATTGGGTTTCAACTTTCTCCTGAATCTTGATGACCTTAATTTCTATCCATATTCTGAATTCTATTTCTGTCATTTCAGCCAGGTAAAGAGCCCTTGCTGGGAAGCTTGTGTGGTAATTTGGAGGAAGGAAGACACTGTTGCTTTTTGAGTTGATGGAGTTCTTGCTCAGTTCTTTCTCATCCATGTGGGCTAATGTTCCTTTGAGTGTGCTGCAATTTGAATTTTTTTCTTTTTTCTTTTAACCGTGATGTAATTTGAGCACAGTCAGTAGACTTCTTTTCTGGATGGTTTCAGAGGGCTGGGGCTTCGCACAGGGTCTTTATTTATAGCTAAATTCTTGTCCTTGGTTTCACAGGGAGGTATATTAGCGAGCATTTTTGGTGTTGAAGTTTGGGCTGCAATCCGGTAAATGATGCTTCAGCACAACGGCCAGTAGGTCATTCCTCATGATTGCCGCTGTGCTCCCTCTCACGCTCTGAAAGTGCGGGCTCCTCTCCCACCCAAGTGCTGGCTGCAGATCTGGGCTCGGCACTCCCAGGCTGCACATCACAGCTCTGGGGTGAGCTCAGACTTTATGTTCCCTCCGTGGCTTGGGGGCAGCAGGGGAAGGGACCTTAGCAGCGGTTGTGGCAGACGGCCTTTCACTTGTCCCTTGGAACTCCACCCCAGAGAGATGTGGAGCCACTATCAGTGCGATGAGCCAAGAGTGGGGCGACTGCACTGTGGGTCCAAGCTAGGGGCCCTGCCTAGTGATGAGCAGGGGGGACAGGTGGGTCACAGGGGTGACAGACTGGCCTCTTCTCCTTAGGGCAGTTTGCTGGAGGTGTGGTTGAAGCACTCAGAGTCTTTGCTCCTTCCCCAGTCTGAGGGCAGCAAGGCCAGTACCACCGCAGTGGCAGCGGCAGAGTGACCTTCCGTTGCCTCTGGGAGCTCCGCCACAGAGAAACGCAGACTCACAGCTGCTGGGAACGCTCCGCCAGAGGGTGGGGCTGTTGTGCCGCGGAATCAAGCTGGGGCTTGGTGAAGAGCAGGGGGTTGAGGGCTCACAGGGAGAGGAGACTGAGCTCCTCTCCGTATGGCGACTGCGGTGTGCTGGAAGCATGAATGAAGGCCGGGCGCGGTGGACTCACGCTCGGAATCCCAGCACTTTGGGAGGCCGAGGCGGGCGGATCACGAGGTCGGGAGATCGAGACCATCCTGGCTAATCTGGTGAAACCCCGTCTCTACTGAAAACACAAAAAATGAGCCGGGCGTGGTGGCGGGCGCCTGTAGTCCCAGCTACTCGGGAGGAGGATGAGGCTGAGGCAGGAGAATGGTGTGAACCCGGGAGGCGCAGCTTGCAGTGAGCCGAGATCGGGCCACTGCACTGCAGCGTGGGCGACAGAGCGAGACTCCGTCTCAAATAAATAAATAAATAAATAAATAAATAAATAAATAAATAAATTGAAGCATGAATGAAGGCCCCAGGCTCCTTGCTTCTTCCCCAGATCACGGGCAGCAGAGGCAGAACCCTTGCCATGGCAGTGGCAGAGGGGCTGTCAGTTGCCTCTGGGAGCCACTCCCCAGGGAAACACGAGCCACCACCAGTGAGTGTGCTGAGGGCGGGGCAGCTGCTCTGCACTCCCGAGCTGGGGGCTCTGCCTGGTAAAGTGGGGGTGGGAGCTCACGGGGAAGAGAGACTGGACTCCTCTCTGTCTGATGGCTGTGGCATAATGACCGGGCCCCCACACATGAAAAAGAATTCTGGGAACTCAAAAAGCCAGTGTGTCCCCACCATGGACCCCTTGGATTGTGTTTCAAATTTCTCCTCAATTTCGAAGAGCGTCCTGGCCATCCAGATTCTGAATTCTATAACCCTCGTTTCATTCATCTCAATGTAGCTAAGAACCAGATTTCTGGGGAACTATCGAGTTGCCAGAGTTCTTGTGTTGATTCTTTTTTTTTTTTCTTTTTTTTTTCTTTTTTGTGGCAGAGTCTTACTCTGTCGCCCAGGCTGGAGTGCAGTGGCACGATCTCAGCTCACTGCTGCAACCTTCACCTCCCGGGTTCAAGCGATTCTCCTGTCTCAGCCTCCTGAGTAGCTGGGATTACAGGTGTGTGCCACCACGCCCGGCTAATTTTTGTATGTTTAGTAGAGCCCGGGTTTTGTCACGTTGGTCAGGCTGGTCTCAAACTCTTGACCTCCGGTGATCTGCCCACTTCAGCCTCCCAAAGTGCTGGGATTACAGGTGTGAGCCACCGCGCCCGGCCTTGGTGTTGATTCTTTCTCTTGTGTGAGGGCTGGTGTTCCTTTAACTGTGATGTCGGTTGAGTACAGTCGCTTGGCTTCATTTCTGGGTGTTTTCAGATGCCAGGACTCTGCACAGGATCTTTATTTGTGGCTGAATTTTTCCCTTCATTGTATACTGGCAAAATTTTTCAGTGTTGTATTTTGAAGTGTGATCCAGTAGGTGGCACTTAAAAGGGTTGGCCAGCATACAGGATCTTAGCCACAAGGCTCTTTTGTAGTTTTGTTTCGTTTTTTGTTTCGTTTTTTGACACAGGGTCTTGTTCTGTCGCCCAGGCTGGAGCACAGTGGCACAATCTCGGCTCACTGCAGCCTCTACCTATCAGGCTAAGTGATCCTCCTGCCTCAGCCTCCTGAGTAGCTGGGACTACAAGCACGCAGCACCATAAAGAGAAAATTTTTGTAATTTTTTTTTTTTTTTTGTAGAGATGGGGTTTCACCATGTTTACCAGGCTGGTCTCAAACTCCTGGGCTCAAGCAATCTGCCTGCCTTGGCCCCCTAACTCTTGTATTTTGACAAAGTCGGCAGTAGTGCTCTGTGGTTGTGAGGAGGGGTGACTCCCTCGCCTGGTCCATTCTTGGGCCTTGGAGGAGCCTCCTACAGTCACTGGCTCTGCACCCACTGTTTCCTTTGTTAGGATTGTTCTGCCCACGGGGCTCCCTCAGGCAGGGCATGGTGGGCAGACAGGCTGTATCCTTCCCCGGCCAGCCCTATGGAGGGAGGACCACCCCGCACCTCTGCAGGCTGATGAAATCAGGTGTTTCACCCCTCTGAACGTTCTGAGAATGAGGGCTCCTCACGGCTTGGTCGCCACCTAACGTGGTGAGTCCTTCTCAGCAAGGGTGATTGGAGCCACATGATCTGCCATCTCAGTGCTTCCCAGGGGAACACAGAGCTACTGGGCATGGTGGCTCACACGTGTAATCCCAGTACTTTAGGAGGCCGAGATGGGCAGATTGCGAAGTCAGGAGACTGAGACCATCCTGGATAACATGGTGAAACCCCGTCTCTACTAAAAATACAAAAAAAAATTAGCCAGGCGTGGTGGCGGGCGCCTGTAGTCCCAGCTACTCGGGAGGCTGAGGCAGAAGAATGGTGTGAACCCGGGAGGCGGAGCTTGCAGTGAGCCAAGATCACACCACTGCACTCCAGCCTGGGCAACAGAGTGAGACTTCATCTCAACAAAAAAAGAAAAGAAAAGAAAAACACAGAGCTGCACACCCCACAGAGTTCAGGCAGAAGGGGGTCTGCAGCGCTGGAAGACCCAGCAAGCCTGGCCCGTCTGGCTGCAAGTGGCAGGGGTGGGTGGAGTCACCCACTTCACCATCTGGGTGCTTTCCAGGGAAGCATGCAGCCACGACCCCGGGCAGAGTTCAGGCAGAAGCTGGGCCACTATGCTGGAAACTGGCCTTGAGCCTTGTGGAGTAACGGCAGGTGGAGCCATCTCACTGCTCCCACGCACCATGCCCGTGGCCTCTGCGGGGGCTGTGGTAACGGCACCCGACTGCTCTGGGGTCAATGCCTGCGGAGGTCCCCCTGGCTTCAGTGTTGCCTCTGCAAAAACCCCAGTTGC
The DNA here is from genome assembly GCF_000001405.40 of Homo sapiens. Taxonomy (NCBI): domain Eukaryota; kingdom Metazoa; phylum Chordata; class Mammalia; order Primates; family Hominidae; genus Homo; species Homo sapiens. Next base: position 788,715 of record NW_003571060.1, read on the forward strand.
AGCCAGGTGCGGTGGCTCACGCTTGTAATCCCAGCACTTTGGGAGGCCGAGGCAGGTGGATCACTTGAAGTCAGGAGTTCAAGACCAGCCTGGCCAACATGGTGAAACCCCGTTTCTACTAAAAATACAAAAATTATCCAGGCATGGTGGTGGGCACCTGTAATCCCAGCTACTCGGAAGGCTGAGGCAGCAGAATTGCTTGAACCCGGGAGGCGGAGGAGCTGAGATTGCACCACTGCACTGCAGCCTGGGCGACAAAACAAGACTCTGTCTCGAAAAATAATAACAATAAAAAATAAAGATGGCAACCATAGACACTGGAGACTACTAGATGGGGGGGAAGAAAGGGGGTTGAAAAACTGCCTATTGGGTACTATGCTCAGTACCTGGGTGACAGGATCAATCGTACTCCAAACCTCAGCATCACAAATTATTTAAATTTTTCTCTTTTTTTAATTTTTTTGTTGTTGTTGTTGAGACGAAGTCTCACTCTGTTGCCCAGGCTGGAGTGCAGTGGTGTGATCTCGGCTCACTGCAAGCTCTGCCTCCCAGGTTCACGCCATTCTCCTGCCCCAATCTCCCGAGTAGCTGGGACTACACGCGCCCGCCACCACGTCCTGCTAATTTTTTGTATTTTCAGTAGACACGGGGTTTCACCGTGTTAGCCAGGATGGTCTTGATATCGTCACCTTGTGATCCACCCGCCTCGGCCTCCCAAAGTGCTGGGAATACAGGCGTGAGCTACCGCACCCGGCCTAAATTTTTTTTTAAATAAAGAATGGTAGGTTCTTCACACCCTAATGTATTTTTACTTCTCCCACAGAGAAGGAAAGGAATGGCTTCCCCATGGCAAGCCACCTCAGTCTGGGCTTTCTTTTCTTCCAGGGGACTTTCCCATGCCTTTCATATCTGCCAAATCGAGTCCTGTGATTCCCTTGGATGGATCTGTGAAAATCCAGTGCCAGGCCATTCGTGAAGCTTACCTGACCCAGCTGATGATCATAAAAAACTCCACGTACCGAGAGATAGGCAGAAGACTGAAGTTTTGGAATGAGACTGATCCTGAGTTCGTCATTGACCACATGGACGCAAACAAGGCAGGGCGCTATCAGTGCCAATATAGGATAGGGCACTACAGGTTCCGGTACAGTGACACCCTGGAGCTGGTAGTGACAGGTAAGGAAACATCCAGGGTCCACAGCCCTGGTGTGATTTTTTTCTTATTTTTAATAGAGTATTTTTCAAGAAGTTTTAGATTTACAAACAAAAAAAAATTGATGATTGCTTCAGAGAGTTCTCAGCCATCTGGCACCCCACTTCCCCCAGAGTTAACATCTTACATTAGTATGGCACATTTCTTACCATTAATGAACAAATATCGACACATTCCCAGCTACAGTCTACAGTTTATTTACATTTTCTTAGTTTTTACCTGATAGTCTTTCTCTGTTCCAGGATCCCATTCAAGATTTCACATTGCGGCTGGGAGTGGTGGCTCACGCCTGTAATCCCAACACTTAGGGAAGCCGAGGCGGGTGGATCACCCAAGGTCAGGAGTTCGAGACCAGCCTGGCCAACATGGTGAATTCCCCGTCTCTACTGAAAATGCAACAATCGCTGGGCGCGGTGGCTCACGCCTGTAATCCCAACACTTTGGGTGGCTGAGGTGGGTGGATCACCTGAGGTCAGGAGTTCGAGACCAGCCTGGCCAACACAGTGAAACCTCGTCTCTACTAAAAATGGAAAAAATTGGCCAGGCCTGGTGGCACACGCCTGTAATCCCAGCTACTTGGGAGGCTGAGGCAGGAGAATCGCTTGAACCCAGGAGGCAGAGGTTGCAGTGAGCCAAGATCACACCACTGCACTCCAGGCTGGGCGACAGGGCGAGACTCCATCTCACACACACACACACAAAAAGATTTCACATTGCATTCAGGTGTCATGTATCTTTATTTTTTTTTTTTTTTTTTTTTTTGAGATGGAGTCCCGCTGTGTTGCCCAGGCTGGAGTGCAGTGGCACAATCTCGGCTCACTGCAAGCTCCAACCTCCCGGGTTCACGCCATTCTCCTGCCTCAGCCTCCCGAGTAGCTGGGACTACAGGCGCCCGCCACCACGCCTGGCTAATTTTTTGTATTTTTAGTAGAGATAGGGTTTCACTGTGTTAGCCAGGATGGTCTCAATCTTCTGACCTCGTGATCCGCCCGCCTGGCCTCCCAAAGTGCTGGGATTACTGGCGTGAGCCACCACGCCCGGCCCCCGAAAATGCTGGGATTACAGGCATGAGCCACCGCACCTGGCCTCCCAAAGTGCTGGGATTCCAGGCGTGAGCCACCGTGCCCGGCAGGTGTCATGTATCTTTAGGTTTGTCTTGGCTGTCACAGCTTCTCAGATGTTGCTGGTTTTCCATGACCTTGTCAGTTTTGAGGGTAGTGGTCCATTATTTTCAAGGGTACTCCCACTACTGGAAATTGTCCGATGTTTTGCTCATGACTAGACTGAGTTATGGGTCATTGCAGGCAAGACCACAGAAGCAAAGTGCCATTTCATCTCCTCATAGCAAAGGTTTAAACTGTCCATGGGAACATGACTGTGGATGTTGAGCTGGCTGTTGTTGAAAGCCTGGCTGAAGTAGTAACTGTGGCCAGACACCGTGGCTCGTGCCTGTAATCCCAGCACTTTGGGAGGCTGGGCGCCGTGGCTCACGCCTGTAATCCCAGCACTTTGAGAAGCCGAGATGGGCAGATCACTTAAGCCCAGGAGACCAGCCTGGGCAACATAGTAAGACCCCATCTGTACAAAAAATCAAAAAATTAGCTGGGCATGGTGGCACCCACCTGTAGTCTCAGTTACTTGAGAGGCTGAGATGGTAGGATCACCTGAGCCTGGGAGGTCGAGGCTGCAGTGAGCCGTGATTATGCCACTGCCCTCAGCCTGGGCGACAGAGTGAGACCCTCTCTAAAATAAATAAATTCTAAAAAAGAAAAAAGAGGCTGGGCACTGTGGTTCACGCCTGTAATCCCAGCACTTTGGGAGGCTGAGGCAGGTGGATCACCTGAGGTCAGGGATTCAAGACCAGCCTGACCAACATGGAGAAACCTCATCTTTACTAAAAATACAAAAATTAGCTGGGCGTGGTGGCGGGTGCCTGTAATCCCAGCTACTCGGGAGGCTGAGGCAGGAGACTCACTTGAACCTCGGAGGTGGAGGTTGCAGTGAGCTGAGATCGTGCCACTGCACTGCAGCCTCAGTGACAGAGTGAGACTCCATCTCAAAAAACAATAATAGGCTGGGCACAGTTGCTCATGCCTGTAATCCCAGCACTTTGGGAGGCCAAGGTGGGCAAATCACCTGAGGTCAGGAGTTCGAGACCAGCCTGACCAACATGGAGAGACCCCGTCTCTACTAAAAATACAAAAATTAGCTGGGCGTGGTGGTACGCACCTGTAATCCCAGTTTCTCGGGAGGCTGAGGCAGGAGAATTGCTTGAACCCGGGAGACGGAGGTTGCAGTGAGCTGAGATCACGCCACTGCACTCCAGCTTGGGCAATAAGAGCGAAACTCCATCTCAAAAAAATATATAATAATAACAATAATAAGAAGAAGAAAAGAATAAAGGAGAAAAGGTCTTTCTAATAGCTCACTCTTTTCTCTCTTAGGCTTGTATGGCAAACCCTTCCTCTCTGCAGATCGGGGTCTGGTGTTGATGCCAGGAGAGAATATTTCCCTCACGTGCAGCTCAGCACACATCCCATTTGATAGATTTTCACTGGCCAAGGAGGGAGAACTTTCTCTGCCACAGCACCAAAGTGGGGAACACCCGGCCAACTTCTCTTTGGGTCCTGTGGACCTCAATGTCTCAGGGATCTACAGGTGCTACGGTTGGTACAACAGGAGCCCCTACCTGTGGTCCTTCCCCAGTAATGCCTTGGAGCTTGTGGTCACAGGTAGGTACCGCCCAGTCCAGCCCTGTGTCTGGGTTGGCTGTCCAGGGCCTTGCCACCGGGCAGGAATATGAAGACGTGCACTGAGAGTGAAGTGAAGAGAGGCAAAGGCTCTCACTCCAGGACAGTGGAGAGAGAAAGGCTTCCCCACCACACTTTCCGCTTTCACTTCCTCGCTAGAGTTCTCCAGACAGGGTTCATTGAAAACTTAGTCTGTGGAGAACAGAAGGGCTAACTCAGTTTGTTTCATTTTATTTATTTCATTTTATTTTCCGGGATAGAGTCTTGCTCTTTCGCCAAGGCTGGAGTGCAGTGGCACGATCTCGACTCACTGCAACCTTCGCCTCCCAGGTTCAAGCAATTCTCCTGCCTCAGCCTCCTGAGTAGCTGGGACCACACAGACAGGGTTTCACCATGTTGGCCAGGCTGGTCTCGAACTCCCGACCTCAGGTGATCCACCTGCCTCGGCCTCCCAAAGTGCTGGGATTACAGGCGTGAGCCACCGCGCCTGGCCAGGCTGCACACATTCTTATTAGGATTCCACCTTGTTCTGGTGTTGTAGAGATGTGATTAGGTATTTAGTGAATTCACCAAGTGAGGAGAGAATGAAAAGAAAACACAACCTGCCTGGCCGGGCGTGGTGGCGTGAGCCTGTCGTCCCAGCTACTCAGGAGGCTGAGGCAGGAGAATCACTTGAACCCAGGAGGCAGCTGTTGCAGTGAGCCAAGATCACGCCATTGCACTCCAGCCTGGGTGACAGAACGAGACTCCACCTCAAGAAAAAAAAAAAAAACATGGTTGGGCACGATGGCTCACGCCTGTAATCTGAGCACATTGGGAGGCTGAGGCAGGTGGATCACCTGAGGTCGGGAGTTCGAGACCAGCCTGGCCAACATAGTGAAACCCCATCTCCACTAAAAATACAAAAATTAACCAGGCGTGGTGGTGGTGGGCGCCTGTAATCCCAGCTACTTGGGAGGCTGAGGCAGGAGAATCACTTGACCAGGGAGGCGGAGGTTGCAGTGAGCCGAGATCACGCCACTGCACTCCAGCCTGGGCAACAGAGTGAGACTCCATCTCAAAAAAAAAAAAAAAAAAAAACACACACAACCTGCCCATAATCACCTCCTTCCCAGTTTATAGCACTTCCCTGGGAAGCACAGTTCCTTGCCCGTGAACACAGTCTTGCTGACTGATCAGTGTGGTGCTGGCGAAGCATGAGCTCATTGAGGGGATGCTTGAGGGAGTCCCATTTTGGCAAGCGAAAAGGAAAATGAGCTCCCGTTTCAGGGCTCTGGGGTTGGGATGGAATGGAACACAACCACCAACCATTCATCTCCTTGAATTGTGTCTCCAGACTCCATCCACCAAGATTACACGACGCAGAACTTGATCCGCATGGCCGTGGCAGGACTGGTCCTCGTGGCTCTCTTGGCCATACTGGTTGAAAATTGGCACAGCCATACGGCACTGAACAAGGAAGCCTCGGCAGATGTGGCTGAACCGAGCTGGAGCCAACAGATGTGTCAGCCAGGATTGACCTTTGCACGAACACCAAGTGTCTGCAAGTAAACACCTGGAGGTGAAGGCAGAGAGGAGCCAGGACTGTGGAGTCCGACAAAGCTACTTGAAGGACACAAGAGAGAAAAGCTCACTAAGAAGCTTGAATCTACTTTTTTTTTTTTTTGAGACAGAGTCTGGCTCTGTCACCCAGGCTGGAGTGCAGTGGAGCAATCTCGGCTCATTGAACCTCTTGGGTTCAAGTGATTCTTGTGCCTCAGCCTCCCAAGTAGCTGGAATTACAGGCACATACCACTGCACCCAGCTAATTTTTGTATTTTTAGTAGAGATGGGGTTTCACTGTGTTGGCCAGGCTGGTCTCGAACTCCTGACCTCAGGTGATCCACCCACCTTGGCCTCCCAAAGTGCTGAGATTATAGGCATGAGCCACCACGCCTGGCCAGATGCATGTTCAAACCAATCAAATGGTGTTTTCTTATGCAGGACTGATCGATTTGCACCCACCTTTCTGCACATAAGTTATGGTTTTCCATCTTATCTGTCTTCTGATTTTTTATATCCTGTTTAATTTCTTCCTTCATTGTTCTTCTCTTTTTTTATTTATTTTATTTATTTTTATTTTTATTTTTATTTGAGACAGAGTCTCACTCTGTTGCCCAGGCTGGAGTGCAGTGGCACGATCTCGGCTCACTGCAACCTCTGCCTCCTGGGTTCAAGTGATTCTCCTGCCTCGGCCTCCCAAGTAGCTGGGATTGCAGGCTCCCACCATCACGCCCAGCTACTTTTACAGTATTTTTAGTAGAGACGGGGTTTCATCACATTGGCCAAGCTGGTCTCAAACTTCTGACCTCGTGATCTGCCCGCCTCGGCCTCCCAAAGTGCTGGGATTACAGATGTGAGCCACTGCGCCCAGCCTTCTTTTTATATTTTTAAATGTGTCTTCCCCAAATATAAATGGTTGGTAAGCATGCCAAATATATTCAATAACCCCCCTCCTTTATTTTTTTTTGTTGAAGTGAGGCTCTCCCTATGTTGCCTAAGCTGGTCTTGAACTCCTGGTCTCAAGCAATCCTCCTACCTCAGCCTCCTGCTGTGTTCATCTACAAATTGATAAGAGTGAAAGTCATAATCCTACAGGAGGATTACCCTATTTATTTCACAAACCCTATTTCTACCGGATTTTCATACAAGGAATACAGGCATGTGTTTCACCTCATTAATTTATTTTTTCACTTAGTTTTGATGATATTCACATATATTATCAAGTGTGCAAACATTAAATTCTTGTGTACAAAACTCAAATGGTCTTCCAAATAATTCCCCATTCTTTTTTCTTATAAACTTTCACAGCTTTACCCTTGACAGACTTTACTCAAGGAAATCTAAGTTGGTCATATGTGGCTCTTTCACTGATTGCTATTTACTTCATTGTCCAGTAGCTTATGTATGAAAATATAATTATAAAATGTAAGGGTCCTACTTCCAGTGAAACTGAAGGGACTTAGGCCCACTTTTATCCTTTACTGAGAGCTTATCTCTACTTGATAAAATTTCTACTGTATTCTTGGCTTAACTCAGGTCCTGTGATTAAAAAAAAAATGCAAAGTATTTCTAACTTTCTTTATTGACTGCTTTTCACACTTTATACAAGTTCTGGCCCATATCTTCAGTTTGTTCTGATTTTTTTCACCAGGTGTGGTGGCAGGTGCCTGTAGTCCCAGCTACTCCAGGGGCTGAGGCAGGAGAATGGCGTGAACCTGGGAGGCGGGGCTTGCAATGAGCTGAGATCACGCCACTACACTCCAGCCTGGGCCACAGAGCGAGACTCCGTCTCAAAAGTAAACAAACAAATAAATAATAAATAAATAAATAAAGGGAAAGTGCCACAATTTTGGATGAAGGGGGTTGAGGGACTTTACGTCAGGTCCAGGACTTGGATTACAGAGACACAATGGGGCTAGATTCCCAGAGATGGATAAGATTAAACTCATATAAGTCGTTTTGCTGACAGAAGGACCTTGTTTGGAAAAAGCGTTTTCAGAATAATAAAGTTCCTGAGCTCTTCAGAAAAGTATTTTATTGTCCTGTAACCACAGTAACAAGTAGCCACCAAAACTGATTTTTAACCCATCATCAATGACAACTCATCTCTGTGAAGATGCTCTTTTTTTTTTTTTTTTTTTTTGAGACGGGGTCTTGCTCTGTCACCCAGGCTGGGGAGCAGTGACGTGACCTCGGCTCCCTGCAACCTCTCTTTCCCGGGTTCAGCAATTCTCCTGCCTCAGCCTCCCCAGTAGCTGGGATTATAGGCACCTGCCACCACACGCAGATAATTTTTGTATTTTTAGTACAGACGGGTTTCGCCATGTTGGCCAAGCTGGTCACAAACTTCTGACCTCAGGGTGATCTGCCTGCCTCAGCCTCTCAAAGTGCTGGGATTACAGGAGTGAGCCACAAAGCCCGGCCACTCCATACGTTTTATATTGTTATGTTACCATCAGTCAGGCAGCTCCTTGCTTCTAAAAGTCATCCAATCAGACTCATTTCAGTAAACACCCAAGCATGAGTGACAACCAATCAAAGTAATATCTTCCCAATGACCACACTTTTCCAGATGACGTCAAGCCACAGAAGGCCCTGAAAATCCAACAATCTCTGAAGTATACATTTCCCAGGCTGAGCGCAGTGGCTCACACCTGAAATCCCAGCACTTTGGGAGGCTAAGGCAGGCAGATCACGAGGCCAGGAGTTCGAGACCAGCCTGGCCAACATGGCAAAACCCCGTCTCTACTAAAAATACAAAAATTAGCCAGGTGTGGTGGCACGCACCTGCATTACCAGCTACTGAGGAGGCTGAGGCAGGAGAATGGCTTGAACCCAGGAGGCGGAGGTTGCAGTGAGCCAAGATCGTACCACCGCACTCCAGCCTTGGTGACAGAGCAAGACTCCATCTCAACAACAACAACAAAAATGGTTGAAATAAAACTTCTATGTGTTGAACGATTCCTCTTTTAGGCATAGAGTTTCAGTTTTACAAGATGAAAATATTCTGGAGATCTGTTTCAAAACACCGTGAATACATTTAACACTGCTATACTGTACACTTACAATGGCTAAGATGGTAAATTGTATGTTATGTTTTTACTACAATTTTTTTTTTTTTTTTTCTGAGACAGAGTCTCACTCTTGTTGCCCAGGCTGGAGTGCAATGGTGCGGTCTCGGCTCACCGCAACCTCCGCCTCCTGGGCTCAAGCCATTCTCCTGCCTCAGCCTCCAGAGCAGCTGGGATTACAGGCATGCGCCACCACGCCTGGCTAATTTTATATTTTTAGAAGAGACGGGGTTTCTCCATGTTGGTCAGGCTGGTCTCGAACTCTGGACCTCAGGTGATCCACCCGCCTTGGCCTCCCAAAGTGCTGGGATCACAGGCGTGAGCCACCACGCCTGGCCTACAATTTTTTTTTAACTTTTTTTTCTGAGATGGAGTCTCGCTCTTGTCACCCAAGTTGGAGTGCAGTAGTGTGATCTCGGCTCACTGCAACCTCTGCCTCCCTGGTTCAAGGGATTCTCCTGCCTCAACCTCCCAAGTGTGGGAGATCAGTCAGAGTAGCAGAAGAAATTATAGGAATAGGAAGCAGCAAACCTTCTTGGAAGGCCAGGGAGGTTGGCATAGCTTCAGATAGTTTGGCTGAAAGCAGCCAGATTCTCTTTTCAGGAGCCAAACAGCTTAGGGCGCAGATACAAAGGAATGCGGAGTATTTTATCTAAATAGCTTGCTTAGTCATATGGTCCTAAAATCAACCTTTGATCATTCTCGGGCAAGATGGCCCTCTCCAGGGAGGTGGCGGGGGGCGGTGACCAGGTTAATTACCCACAGGTGTGTTGACTCAAAGCCTTTGTTAATTAAATCTGTGCTAAATAAATGCAAGCGTTGCCAGCTTAGAGGGGCTGCACTCTCTTTGGCTCCTAGTGCCGGCAGCCCCCTGGCCTGCTCTTTCACTGAATATTGGTGTCTGAGGACGTGTCTCATCTGTCGTACAGCTGGGATCTGCAGAACAGATCCCCCCCGCACCCAAGAAGCTGGGATTACAGGCACCCGCCGCCATGCCCAGCTCATTTTTGTATTTTTAGTAGAGACAGGGTTTCACCATGTTGGTCAGGCCGGTCTCGAACTCCCGGCCTCAGGTGATCTGCCCGCCTCAGCCTCCCAAAAGTGCTTGGATTACAGGCATGAGCCACTGCGCCTGGCCTTAGAAAACTTCTTTTTCTTTTTTTTTTTTTTTTTTTTTGAGACAGAGTTTCACTCTGTCGCTACGCTGGTGTGATCTGGGCTCACTGCAATCTCCGCCTCCCAGGTTCAAGTGATTCCCCTGCCTCAGCCTCCCGAGTAGCTGGAACTACAGGTGCGCACCGCCACGCCCGGCTAATTTCTTGTATTTTCGTGGAGACGGGGTTTCACCATGTTGGCTAGGCTGGTCTGTTTCATGCGCGTCCGTGTGAAGAGACCACCAAACAGGCTCTGTGTGAGCAACAAGGCTGTTTATTTCACCTGGGTGCAGGCAGGCTGAGTCCGACAAGAGAGTCAGCGAAGGGGGATAGGGGTGGGGCCGTTTTATAGGATTTGGGTAGGTAAAGGAAAATTACAGTCAAAGGGGGGTTGTTCTTTGGTGGGCAGGAGTGGGGGGTCACAAGGTGCTCAGTAGGGGAGCTTTTGAGTCAGGATGAACCAGAAGAAGGAATTTCACAAGATAATGTCATCAGTTAAGGCAGGAACAGGCCATTTTCATTTCTTTCGTGGTGGAATGTCATCAGTTAAGGCAGGAACCGGCCATCTGGATGTGTACGTGCAGGTCACAGGGGATATGATGGCTTAGCTTGGGCTCAGAGGCCTGACATTCCTGTCTTCTTATATTAATAAGAAAAATAAAACGAAATAGTGGTAAAGTGTTGGGATGGTGAAAATTTTGGGGGGTGGTATGGAGAGAGAATGGGCGATGTTTCTCAGGGCTGCTTCGAGCGGGATTAGGGGCGGCGTGGGAACCTAGAGTGGGAGAGATTAAGCTGAAGGAAGATTTTGTGTTAAGGGGTGATATTGTGGGATTGTTAGAAGAAACATTTTTCATTTAGAATTACTGGTGATGGCCTGGATGCAGTTTTGTATGAATTGAAAAACTAAATGGAATAAGGAAAGGAGAAAAACAGGTATAAAAGGTCTAAGAATTGGGACGACTCAGGACATCTGATTAGAGAGTGCCTAAGGAGGTTCAGCATAGCCTTGCCAGCAAAGATTATTTATTTACTTCAAGAGTTAAGAGTGGCGGTTTGGGGATAGCACCAGGAGATATCAGCTGTGATGGCTTGGAAAAACAGTGTAAACCAGCAGTGTAAACAAGAGCAGGGCATGTGTGAGTAGTTGAGAATGGTGAATAGGAGTATGACTAGACAGAAGATAGTAGGGATGACAAGTTTTTTGGGGCACAATCTAAGTTGGTCTGGTGTCTGGAATGAGACTGGGGCTTAATAAAAAGCAGTGTCTATACAGGAGCTCAAATGTGCTGTACCTTGTAGCATTCTGAGGACAGGCCTGAATTCTGAGAAAAGAAAGTGGTAAAAGTATTGTCCAGTCTTTTTTAAGTTGGTGGCTGAGCTTGGTGAGGTGTGTTTTTAATAGACCATTAGTCCATTCTACTTTTCCTGAAGACTGAGGACTGTAAGGGATATAAAGGTTTCACTGAATACCAAGAGCCTGAAAAACTGCTTGGCTGATTTGACTAATAAAGGCCGGTGTGCTATCAGACTGTATAGAGGTGGGAAGGCCAAACTGTGGAATTATGTCTGACAGAAGGGAAGAAATGACCTCGGTGGCCTTCTCAGACCCTGTGGGAAAGGCCTCTACCCATCCAGTGAAAGTGTCTACCCAGACCAAGAGGTATTTTAGTTTCCTGACTCAGGGCATGTGAGTAAAGTCAATTTGCCAGTCCTGGGCGGGGGCAAATCCCCGAGCCTGATGTGTAGGGAAGGGAGGGGACCTGAGCAATCCCTGAGGGGTAGTAGAATAGCAGATGGAACACTGATAAGTGGTTTCCATGAGGATAGATTTCCAGGATGGAAAGGAAATGAGAGGTTCTAAGAGATGGGCTAGCAGCTTGTAACCTACATGGAAGAGGCTATGAAATATCAACCGAATAGAATGGGCCTGTGAGGCTGGAAGGAGGTATTTTCCTTGGTCTAAGAACCATTTGCCTTGTGTGGGAAGAGATTGATGGGTGGAAGTTTCAGTGGGGGAGTAGGTGGGAGTGACTGATGAGAAGGAGAAAAACTGGCTGTGGGGGACAGAAATTGGCATGCTAGCTGCTTGTCTAGCTACCTTATCAGCATAAGCATAGATGTGAGAGACAGAAGTTGGAAAGCTAGCTGCTTGTCTAGCCACCTTGTCAGCATAGGCATTGTCTAGAGCAATGGGATCTGATGACTTTTGATGGCCTTTGCAGTGAATGACTCCAGCTTCCTTTGGGAGTAAAGCGGCCTTGAGCAGAGTTTTTATTAAGGAGGCATTAAAGATGGAGGACCCTTGTGTAGTGAGGAAACCTCTTTCAGCCCATATGACCGCATGGTGGGGCAGAATATGAAAGGCATATTTAGAGTCAGTATAAATATTGATGCATAGTCCTTTTGCATCAGTGAGGGCTTGAGTTAAGGCAACTAATTCGGCTTGCTGAGAGGTAGTGGAGGGGGCAGAGCGGTAGCCTCAATGATAGATGTGGAAGATACTATAGCATAGCCTGCCTTTGCTGGTGAGTGGCGATTAGGCCTGGTGGAACTGCCATCAATAAACTAAATGTGATTAGGGTGAGGAATAGGAAAGAAGGAAATGTGGGGAAATGGGGTGAATGTCAGGTGGATCAGAGAGATACAGTCATGGGGGTCAGGTGTGGTATCCGGAATAATGTGGGAGGCCGGATTGAAGTATGGGCCAGTAACAATGGTGATTGTGGGAGACTCAACAAAGAGTGAGTGTAGCTGAAGGAGCCGGGAAGCAGAAAGTATATGCGTCAGGTGTGAGGAAGAAAATAGATTTTTGGAAGTTATGAGAACTGTAGAGAGTGAGTTGAGCATAGTTTGTGATTTTGAGGGCCTCTAAAACTATTAAAGCAGCGGCAGCCGCTGCTCACAGACATGAGGGCTAGGCTAAAACAGTAAGGTCAAGTTGTTCGGACAGAAAGGCTACAGGGTGCGGTCCTGGCTCTTGTGTAAGAGTTCCGACCACGCTAACCATGCCTAGGAAGGAAAGGAGTTGTTGTTTTGTAGAAGGTGCTGGGGCTTGAGAGATCAGTCAGACACGATCGGCATGGAGAGCACGTGTGTTTTTATGAGAATTATGCCGAGATAGGTAACAGAGGAGGAAGAAATTTGGGCTTGACTGAAGTAATGGGGGCTGTCTGTGAAGCTTTGCGGCAGTACAGCCCAGGTAATTTGCTGAGCTTGATCGGTGTCAGGGTCAGTCCAAGTGAAAGCGAAGAGAGGCTGGGATGAAGGGTGCAAAGGAATAGTAAAGAAAGCACGTTTGAGATCCAGAACAGAATAATGGGTTGTAGAGGCAGGTATTGAGGATAGGAGAGTATATGGGTTTGGCACTACGGGGTGGATAGGCAAAACAATTTGGTTGATAAGGCGCAGATCCTGAACTAATGTGTAAGCCTTGTCTGGTTTTAGGACAGGTAAAATGGGAGAATTGTAAGGGGAGTTTATAGGCTTTAAAAGGCCATGCTGTAGCAGGCTTTAATCCTTTTAAAGCGTGCTGCGGAATGGGATATTGGCGTTGAGTGGGGTAAGGGTGATTAGGTTTTAATGAGATGGTAAGGGGTGCATGATCGGTCACCAAGGAGGGAGTAGAGGTATCCTATACTTGTGGGTTAAGGTGGGGGGATGCAAGAGGAGGAAGCAAAGGAGGCTTTGGATTGGGAAGAATGGCAGCAATGAGATATAGCTGTAGTCCAGGAACAGTCAGGGAAGCAGATAATTTAGTTAAAGTGTCTCAGCCTAATAAGGGAACTGGGCAGGTGGGGATAACTGAAAAGGAGTGCTTGAAAGAGTATTGTCTAAGTTGGCACCAGAGTTGGGGAGTTTTAAGAGGTTTAGAAGCCTAGCTGTCAATACCTACAACAGTTATGGAGGCAAGGGAAACAGGCCCTTGAAAAGAAGGTAATGTGGAGTGGGTAGCCTCCATATTGATTAAGAAGGGGACGGGCTTACCTTCCACTGTGAGAGTTACCTAGACTGTGATGGTCCTGTAGGCTTCTGAGGCGATCGGGATCGGGCAGTGTCAGTCTTCAGCTGCTAAGCCGAGAAGATCTGGGAAGGAGTCAGAGAGCCTTGGGCCAGAGTTCTAGCTGCTCTGGGAGTGGCTGCCAGGTGAGTTGAACAGTCCGATTTTCAGTGGGGTCCCGCACAGATGGGATGCGGCTTAGGAGGAATCCCAGGCTGTGGACATTCCTTGGCCCAGTGGCCAGATTTCCAGTACTTGTAGCAAGCTCCTGGGGGAAGAGGTTCTGGAGGAACCCCTGGCAGCTGCGGTTCAGGCGTTTGGAGTTCTCGTGTGCTGGAGATGTGGCTGGGGTTTGTCTCATCTGGATACTGGAGTGGAGGCAAGGAATTGCAACTCAGAAATATGTTGCTATTTGGCTGCCTCTACTCTATTACTGTACACCTTGAAGGCGAGGTTAATTAAGTCTTGTTGTGGGGTTTGAGGGACAGAATTTAATTTTTGGAGCTTTATTTAATGTTGGGAGCAGATTTGGTAATAAAATGTATATTGAGAATAAGACGGCCTTTTGACTTAGGGTCTAGGGCTGTAAAGCGTCTCAGGGTTGCTGCCAAATGAGCCATGAACTGGGCTGTGTTTTTAAATTTGATGAAAAAGAGCCTAAACACTATCTGATTTGGGAGAGGTCAGATAAAGAAAAAGGAGCATTAACCTTGACTATGCCTTTAGCTTCAGCCACCTTTTTAAGAGGAAATTGCTGGGCAGTTGGGGGAGGGCTAGTCATGGAATGGAACTGTAAGCTGGACCGGGTGTGAGGAGGGGAGGTGATAAAAGGATTATAGGGTGGAGGAGCGGAGGCTGAGGAAGAATTGGGACCCAGCTCGGCCTGGCGAGGAGGGGAGATGTCAGATGGGTCTGTAGAAAAGGAAGATTAGAAAGACTCAGCGATGCTTGGGGTTGGGACTGACGGGACAGGCGGGAGGGAAAGAAGGAAGATTTGGGACGAGTTGCACTGGGCATAGAGACTAGGGAGGGACCGATGTGTAAAAGAATGCCTGGATGTCAGGCACCTCAGACCATTTGCCCATTTTACAACAAGAATTATTTAGATCTTGTAGGATGGAAAAATTGAAAGTGCCGTTTTCTGGCTATTTGGAACCACTGTCAAGTTTGTATTGGGGTCAAGCAGCATTGCAGAAGAAAATAAGGCATTTAGGTTTTAGGTCAGGTGTGAGTTGAAGAGGTTTTAGGTTTTTAAGAACACAGGCTAAGGGAGAAGAAGGAGGAATGGAGGGTGGAAGGTTGCCCATACTGAAGGAGGCAAGCACAGAGAAAAGAGAGAGTAGAGACATGGAGGGAAGGGGTTCAGGGGTTCTTACCTTCCAGAAAAGCGGGAAAGGGGTCAGGGCACAGAAGTAAGGGATTGGGGTGCAGAGACAAGAGGTCGGGGTGTGGAAATAAGGGATCGGGGTGCAGAGATAAGACGTCAGGGCACAGAAATAAGGGATCGGGGGATTCTTGCCCCCTAGAAAAGCGGTACTTGCCACTAAGGGTGAAGGAGAAGGGGTTGGGGGGTTCTTGCCCCCCCAGAAAAGCAGAGAAGGGGTAGAGACACAGAGAAGGAGTTGGGGGTTCTTGCCCCCCCAGAAAAGCAGTACTTGCCACTAAGGGTGAAGGACCAAGGCAGGCATCCCCATGTGGTCAGACACCTCTGAAACGTGGGTGAATAATCAGAGAGGTGTCCCTGCGTGATTAAACACCAAGGGAAGGCTGCCTTCCCGAGTCCATGACCGGCGCTGGAGTTTTGGGTCCACGAATAAAGCGCGTCTCCTGTCTCTACCAGAAAAGGAAAGGAACTGAAATTAAGAGAAGGGAGAGATTGAAGAGTGGAAAGGAGAAAGTGGTTGAGGGATAGTGAGAGAGGTTGGAGAAGAGAGTAAAAAGAGGCTGCTTACTGGATTTAAAATTGGTGAGATGTTCCTTGGGCTGGTTGGTCTGAGGACGAGAGGTCGTAGGTGGATCTTTCTCATGGAGCAAAGAGCAGGAGGACAGGGGATTGATCTCCTAAGGAAGATCCCCTGATTCGAGTTATGGCACCAAATTTCACTCACGTCCGTGTGAAGAGACCACCAAACAGGATTTGTGTGAGCAACAAGGCTGTTTATTTCACCTGGGTGCAGGCGGGCTGAGTCCAGAAAGAGAGTCAGCAAAGGGAGATAGGAGTGCGGCCGTTTTATAGGATTTGGGTAGGTAAAGGAAAATTACAGTCAAAAGGGGGTTGTTCTCTGGCGGGCAGGAGTGGGGTTCACAAGGTGCTCAGTAGGGGAGCTTTTGAGCCGGGATGAGCCAGGAGAAGGAATTTCATAAGATAATGTCATCACTTAAGGCAAGAACAGGCCATTTTCATTTCTTTCGTGGTGGAATGTCATCAGTTAAGGCAGGAACCGGCCATCTGGATGTGTACATACAGGCCA